>NC_000023.11:32137488-32287844 GCF_000001405.40 Homo sapiens | reverse complement strand
CATGGTTATTAACTTTAAAAAGTCAATAATTAAGAATTGCAACACCATTTGCTACCTTTGGGATTTGTATATATATATATATTTTTCTCTTTCTATAGACAGCTAATTCATTTTTTTACTGTTTTAAAATTTTTATATTACAGAATATAAAAGATAGTCTACAACAAAGCTCAGGTCGGATTGACATTATTCATAGCAAGAAGACAGCAGCATTGCAAAGTGCAACGCCTGTGGAAAGGGTGAAGCTACAGGAAGCTCTCTCCCAGCTTGATTTCCAATGGGAAAAAGTTAACAAAATGTACAAGGACCGACAAGGGTAGGTAACACATATATTTTTCTTGATACTTGCAGAAATGATTTGTTTTCAGGGAACTGTAGAATTTATTTCAGTACCCTCCATGGAAAAAAGACAGGGAAAAAGAAGTATCACTCTCATTGAAAAATGGTAAGTAAAATGAGAACAAATAATGATGAACAATTCAGACAAATGAGCTGAACTGTAGAAATTATTCAGTATTAAATTTAGCGTTATGTTGAAGCATTATATCTTCTAAAATTTCAGGTAATCGTAAATCAGATTGGGGCATTGAGGTGCTATAAACAGTTGTTCGATATAACATATTTATCTTTAGTCAAATCTGTATCTACAAATTTATAGGAGTTTGATACTTAGATTAACATGTTTAAAATACTACCTATCAATAAAAAAATTGATTTTCATTTATTTATATTTTGGAGGGTGACACTTTACACTTTGCATTACCCTCCCCCACATTTTTTTTTGCCATGGGGAATTTGTTAAGTTGATTTAAAATCATGTTTCTTTTTATCTTAATTGAAATATTTAGCTGTTGACTTAATTGGGGGGTGGCAGAAATTCAATTACATTATTTAGCTTCACATCACAAGAAGTGGATTACTCTTTCTTTTACATTTTTAGATTAAAAGTAATAAAGTTCTCTAACAGCTTAAAGTGATTCATTTCAGAAGTCTTTATCCTCAAGGTAGGCTTCTTAATTATTCTCAGAGGAAATCAAATCATTCGTCTAATAATTATAGGGAACCTCCATGGTATCTCTTACATCTGTCCATTTCTAACCATCTTTACTCCTATTTTAGTTCTTGGTTTACTACATCAGGCACCTAAAGAGAGATTTCTAGCATTAATCTCAGTTGTCTCAAGTGATTATCTCCACTTTGTTCTCAACGATCTTTCAGTGGCCGTCATTTTTCTAAAGTGTAAGAGCTTTGGTACTATAATCTCATTCCCTTGAGAATGAAACCCTGACTCCTTAATTGTGCAAAATTATCTGGTCAGCCTCACTGCTTATTTCTTCGTGCCTGCCCTATAGCAAGCCCCTCCAATTATGTTCTAGCGATATTAAATCAATTTGCAGATGCCCAAGTGTTTTGTACTCCCTCTGACCTGCCTGTTCTTCAGGTCTCACTTCAGATGTTGTCTTTTTCTAGAAATCCTAAAACTATTAGTCGCTCCTAACATCTGGAAACTTGGATATTGTTTCATCATTTAATGTAATTTAATATCAATAAATCATTTATGCATTTGTAAATTTTCCAGACTTGGTGGCTACCGTGTAGAATATATGATCTGATGTGCCTGCTCCTAAAACCTAACACATAGTAATCAATTTGTTTACTTTTCTGCCTCCCACACAAGCTCCTTATAGAAAAGGGCTATGTTTTATTTGTGTTATATGCTCAGGACTGATATAGTGCTGAGCACAAAGTGGGTGTTCAATGTGTCTGGACTCAAGCCTCCTCTCCGAAACCTGAGAATATTTCCCCTTTGGATAGTCTACCAGATTTATCTCACTGCACCTTCCAGGGCAGGTGCGGTGGCTCATGTCTGTAATCCCAGCACTTTGGGAGTCCAAGGCGGGCACATCATTTGAGGTCAGGAGTCCGAGACCAGCCTGGCCAACATGGTGAAACCTTGTCTCCATTAAAAATACAAAAATGACCTGTGCGTGGTGGCATGCGCTTGTAGTCCCAGCTACTCGGGAGGCTGAGGCAGGAGAATCCCTTGAACCCAGGAGGCAGAGGCTGCAGTGAGCCCAAATCCACCACTGCATTCCAGCCTGGGTGACAGAGCAAGGCTCCGTCTCAAACAAAACAAAACAAAACAAAAAAACAGATTTATCTCAACTTCCTTGAAAATAGCTGGTCCCACAGTATCCAAAGCCAGGCTTGATAAAGGCAAAGAAACTCAGCCACTCTGTGTATATGCTACAAATACAAACTTAAACTTATAAAATGGTGGCTCATGCCTGTAATCCCTGTGCTTTGGGAGGCTGAGGCAGGAGGGTCACTTGAGCCCAGGAATTCAAGGCTGCCACGAGCCATGATTGTGCCACTGTACTACAGCCTGAGTAACAGACTCTCTCTAAAATAAATTAACAAAAATATTTGAATAAACTTATATCGCCACCATGGTGTACTTTCTCCCAGCATTTCACATTGAGACATTATGAGGCTCTGCGGGCTACTCCAATGATGTCAGTTTCATTACCATCTTTTGGGATGTTCATTCCACTCTTGGGAAGTTCTTCCCCCTCTGGTTTGTCTTCTTATAGTCAGTGTTTTCTCCAAGCATTCTAGGCCACCCACACCATCCCCTAAGGACCGTTGAGGTTTCTTGGATAGCCAGTGATTACTGTGCTTCTATATACACCTACCAGTTTTGCACTAAAGTAGAAATAACGCTTTCTGCTTTTTGAGGTTTCTCCTCCGCTTTACTCATGAGTAATTTTTGGCAAATGATCCAGGTATTCCCTTCTCACTGGGTCATATGGACATTTCCCTTTCAGTTTACCTTCACCTTAGACTTAAACAGAAACACTAACGCCATTCCACAGAGAGGGTCGCTGAAATCTCACCCCAACTCTGAGGACTTTTCTGGTTTTGACAAAGGATAGAGTTTCTCTAGCCCCAATAGATCCACCCTGTCCTTATCCAGAGGTTGAAATTGTACTTCCATTGACATTCTATAGGAATTGGTCAGGAGCTGTTAAATTTCCTATGACTTTTAGTACAATCTCAGATACAAACTGTTTTAAGTAATTGCTTATAAGCACAGGCTCTAGAGTTCCAACCCGTTTTGGAATTCTGGCCTTTCTGCTATCTATGTGCCCTTGAGCAAGTCTCTTAAATCTTCTGCTCCATACATTTCTGATGTATAAAATAGGATAAGAATAGTGTCTATGTCACAGGGTTGTTATGAGGATTATCTGACACAATATATGTGGGGAGCTTAGTGGGTTGCTTAAACACGATAATGGCTCAGTTAAGGTTGGCAATTTTGATGATGAAAATGGTGATCTTATGGTTCTGATAGTCATGATATCTGTTAATTCATTCTTACATGCTTTCAAATTTCCCTGAGAACTACAGAGAGAAGAATTAGACTCAGTCCCTGCTTTGAAGAGCTTCACAGTCTTGGAGAGAAAAGGCACAACCAGCCAGTAAAATAAGGGTTGATAGACTGGAGCTGTACAAGAGGGCAAGAACAAGATCCCTGGGGAATGGAATGAAGCTATCTTACTAAGAATGGGGAATAAGTCAAGGTCTATAGACCATTCAAGGTTCTGAGTTACAACTAACAGAAAGTGACTCTAGTTACTTTAGGTAGAATTATATAAATTACTAGAAGGATATCAGATACCTCATGGAATCAATAGGAAAGCCTGAGAGCTAGGTTTAACAATGGGCAGAAACTATAAAGGAAGAGCAGGCTAGGCATCCAGAATATATCTACTATCAAGCTATGAGGTAAATCTGAATTATTTTGCTGTCATGCCAGAGTCCATTGCTTTACCAGGAGCACCATTGCACTGGACATTGCTTGCTATCGTCACTGCAAAAAAAAAGTATCTAAATTATTTATTCTTGCTGTGTGTCGCTCATTCTACAACTAGGGTCTCTGGCAGAAGCATCTGATAGTCAGAGGATGGATATTTTTTTCTGTAAAGGGGCAGTTAGTCGATATTTTTGTCCCTGCAGGTCATGTAGTCTCTGTCACAACTACTCAACTCTGCTGTTTTAGGGTGAAAAAAACCATGTATAATATATAAATGGATGGACATGTTGTGTTTAAATAAAACTTTATTTACCAAGGCAGATGGCAGGCTGGAATTGCTGATGGGCCATAGATTGATGACTGCTGTTACAATACAGGTTTAGGCCACAGAACTAGGTTCTTATTGCCAGAGATCAGGGAAAATAAATAGCTGAATTTGTTCTTCATTGTAGTGGCAGTCAACACCTCGTGTCCTACTAAGTCCCATACAATGGTAGATTCTTGAATCCTTGGAGAGATTTAGAAGCTATGCATTCCTGAATACACAAATGTTCAGTACAGCCTTCATGTGGTGTTCTCAACAAAAATCTGCTGAGTTTTTTAGTAAGCCAATTTGGGTTAAATCAAAATAAATTTGAGCTAGTAAGAAGGGCTATATTGGTATTTTTCTTAAATGGTACATGTATGGTAGTATTAGCTATGACCGCAATAATGCTGTGACACAAATCACCCTAGAACTTGCTGACTGAAAACAACAGGCATTTCTGGCTGTTTAGGTTACTTGTACCTTGACTGACTCAGCTGGGCTTGGCCGGGAAGCTCTGCTTCAAGATGTGGGTTAGTAGAGCTAGGTTCCATGATGCATGTTGGATTAAGGTCTGCTATATATGTCTTTGCTCTGGACCTAAGATGAAGGGTCAGTGACATGTTTTCATGACCAGTCACCAAAGTATAAACCTAAACCTCCCAAGAACACTCATGGCCTCTGCTCCTGTGAAGTTCACTGACATTTGATTGGCCAAAGCAAATTACGTTGCCAAATCTGACATCAATAGAATGAGAAAGTAGACTCTTCCTACAGTGGAAGGGGGGAGAGATGTTAATATTTGCTGAACCATAATTCAAATTATTAGAGATAGTTAATAATTTATAACAGGATTGTTTTACAGCTAGAAAATGCCTTAGTGGTTTTGCCCTGCTTCATTATTTTATAAGGGAGAAAACTATATTTCAAAGATGTTATGTGACTTGCCTAAGCACATACTAAATAGTACATCTGCGTATTTCTCGTTCAGTCATCTCTATTAAATGTCATAAGGTAAAACAGACATTACGCTTTAGATGAGAACAGGAAGATATTTAAAAAGCCAGACTAATTTATGACTGCTCATTCATTATCTAACATACCTGCTTCCATACATTGTCTTTCAGCAAATAGAATTTCAACATGTATCTCAACAAGTTACACATCATCAAAGTATTAAAAGCCTTATTTTCACGGACATTCTGATTGTTCACTAACAGTCAACACAGTCAACAGTAAATCCACAAGCACCATGAACGTATGGATAGATATGCCTATATGTAAGATTACTAGTTAACTTTTTGGGAAATTAATATTACTGCTAAATTCAGTTTTCATTGATTTTCGGGTGGGTAACTAACTGCTTATAAAATATACCTATAGGAAACATGTAAAAACAAAGAATTTACATAAGATCTATCTGGGATTAGAGAAACAAAGCTCTTTTCTTCTTTCAATGAACACTTAAGAAGGGCCTACTAAATGTCAGATGTTATACTCTATTGTCGTTAGTTTCTTTCTGATACCATCTTTACTATCCTGTAAGCCATTAGTGAGTGTTTCCCACTTTTAGAAAATGACTTCCCAAAGACTAAGAGGGTAGAACAGTTCAAATGCTATCATCAAAATGAAGGCAGTTTCTAGACTACAAATTGCTGTACAGCCATAAGATGGCATTATTGTGTAACAACAAGGTCCCTGTCAAACATCAAGAAAGTAATGTTTTAAAATCAGTATTTCCTTCTTGGAATTCTACTTAGTCAGATATGTTGGGTTGACTTACCCACCCATATAAGTAGTTAAATTCAAGATGGTTCTGAGCTTTAGATATGATGTAAAATAGACATGAGACTAAGAGTATTTATTTCTATATTATTACATTTCTATAGCAAAAAAAGAAACCTCTAAAAAAATTAGAGAAAGAAGTATAAGGGCATTTAATTAATCAAATGTTCTTATTAATAATATTTCATAAAATAAAGGAAATGTTGAAAAATAAAATATGAACACAGTGTTGTATAAAGTAAGTCAGAAATAAGAGAACACTTACTGTATGAATCTATTATATGAAACTAAAAAATTAGGCACTTTGGAGTTTAGAGGTCAGATAGGAGTTACCTTTGTGAGTTGTGATTAACAAGGGCTGAAGCAGGCTTCTAGGGACTGGGTAATGTTTTGTTTCTTGATGTGGATGCTGCTTGCATTGATGTGTTTCCTTTAGGGAAGTTTATGGAACCATACACTTGTGATGTGTACACATTTCTGTGTGAATGCTGGACTGAACTAAAATTTATACTTACATTTTAAAAATAATAAATATGTACTTTAAGTACAGGAGGGACATAAATCATAATTGTTTTAATAAAGAAGGTGTAGCTTTAGGAAAAGCATACCGCATTGTTCTATTTTTGGCATTTCACCATGGACCCCTGAACATTTTATAATTGCCCAGTACAGCCTGTCAGATAAATATGTGGGCACTACTGCTTTAGAGAAAGTATTTTCCAAATTTATCACCACCATTCTGGAACCACAGTTCCACAGGTCATTAGGATGCTGAGGGTGGGACAGTTGGAAGCTGCTTCCCCAGGGATTTCTCCATTGTTCAGTTCTCATAGCAGTAAGCCTGCAGCATTAAAGCACTCACAGGCTCTGGCTGCCATTTGTGCTACATGAAGAAAAATGAGAAAATGAAAGAAACGAAAGGAGAGAAAACAGGAGTAGAAACCAAATAAATCAGATTCGAAGAGAAAGTCCCTAATCGTCTCTGTATTCAGACAGTAGGGAATGAGCATGCAATTCTGCAAGCCCATTCCTAATGTGAGTTTCTGATAAGAATTTGCTATCTCAGTTGTAATCTTTCTACTGAGACATTCAATAAATAATTTTCTTTCATGTCAAGGTAAGGAAATAACCTCACATTACCCATATAAGGAAAGAATAGTATACTAATCCTCACGTTATCACTATAGAATTTTATCTTTTAAAGTGGAAGCTAGAGGGACAGATGCATAATCTGGGAGCTTTTCCAGAATTGTTTGTTCCTAAATGAGACATTCAGCTATAGCAGCATTAGCAGCCTCTTCTATTTGTCACAATGCCATATGTAGTTGGGAAGATACATGATAAGCACATACAGGATGCTGACAACTCACGAAGGATTATCATTGCAGTCTTAGAATTAATCTCTACCATATTTGAAGATTTTTATGCAAGACTGGATCTTCATTCCACAACCCAGGTATAGGTATATGTGCCAATACAAAATACTTACTGTTGGTTTCTGAGCTTGGTAGAATTAGGAAGTAAGGGGTAAAAAACAAGCAAGTCCTGAACTTAAGAAAGTTGTTCATATCCTATTCCATGGCCACTGTTTTACTGACTGGAAGAAAGGAATCCCGTGGATTCAGTCATGGGGACAATGCAGAAGAAGATACAGTAGACAGACAGAGAAGTACAAATTTCTATTTATGTTCCACTTTTCAAAATTTTTTATCTTTAAATGTTATTTTTAACGTTTGTGGGTACATAGTGTGTATATATATATATATATATATACTGTATATATATATATATATACTGTATATATAAACACACATATATAAATATATACTATATATAAACATATACTATATATAAATAGATTTACTATGTATATACACACATACATAGTGTATATATGTGGGGTATATATATATGTGGGGTACATATATATATGTGGGGTACATATATATATATGTGGGGTACATATATATATGGGTTACACATATATATGTGTATATATGTGGGGTACATATATATATATGGGGTACATGAGATGTTTTGATATAGGCATGCAAGTATCATGGAAAATGGGATGTTCATCCCCTCAAGCAATTATTCTTTGTTTTACAAACAGTAAAATTGTATTTTTTTAATTGTTTAAAAATGTACAATTAAATTGTTTTGACTATAGTCACCCTGTTGTGCTAGCAAATAGTAGGTGGTGTTCATTCTTTCTAACTATTTTTTGTACCAAGTAACCATTTCAACCTCCCCCTCAACCCCCCCACTACCCTTCACAGCCTCTGGTAACCATCCTTCCACCCTCTATCTCCAAGTGTTCAGTTGTTTTGATTTTTACCTGCCACAAATAAATGAGAACGTGTGATGTTTGTCTTTCTGTGCCTGGCTTATTTCATTTAACACAATGACCTCCAGTTCCATCCATGATGTTGCAAATGAAAGGATCTCATTCTTTTTATGGCTGAATAGTACTCTATTACGTATATGTATCACATTTTCTTTGTCCATTCATCTCTTGATGGACGCTCAGGTTGCTTCCAAATCTTGGCTATTATGAACAGTGCTTCAACAAACGTGGGAGTACAGATATCTCTTTGATATACTGATTTGCTTTCTTTGGGATATATACCCAGCAGTGGGATTGCTGGATCATATGGTAGCCCTGTTTTTAGTTTCTGAGGAACCTCCAAACTATTCTCCATTTTGGTTGTACTAATTTACATTCCTGCCAACAGTGTACAGGAGTCCCCTTTTCTTCACACTCTCTCCAGCATTTGTAATTGCCTGTCTTTTGGATATGTCGTTTTAATTGGGGTGAGAGAATATCCCATTGTAGTTTTGCTTTGTATTTCTGTGATGATTAGTGATGCTGAGCATATTTTGATACACCTGTTTGCCATTTGTATGTCTTCTTTTGAGAAATGCCTATTCGAATCTTTTGTCTATTTTCTGATCTAATTATTAGACTTTTTCCTATAGAGTTGTTTTAACTCCTTATATATTCTGGTTATTAATCCCTTGTGAGATGGGTAATTTGCAAATATTTTCTCCCTTTCTGTTGGTTGTCTCTTCACTTTATTGATTGTTTCACTGCGGAGGAGCTTTTTAACTTGATGTGATCCATTTGTCTATTTTTGCTTTTGTTGCCTGTGCTTATAGGATATTACTCAAGATTTGTTTTACCCAGACAGATATCCTGGAGAGTTTCTCCAATGTTTCCTTGTAGTAGTTTCTTAGTTTGAGGTCTTAGATTTTAGTCGTTAATCCATTTTGATTTGCAGTTCTCTGATGGCCAGTGATGGTGAGCATTTTTTCATGTGTTTTTTGGCTGCATAAATGTCTTCTTTTGAGAAGTGTCTGTTCATGTCCTTCACCCACTTTTTGATGGGGTTGTTTGTTTTTTTCTTGTACGTTTGTTTGAGTTCATTGTAGATTCTGGATATTAGCCCTTTGTCAGATGAGTAGGTTGCGAAAATTTTCTCCCATTTTGTAGGTTGCCTGTTCACTCTGCATCAATTTTGCATCAATATTTTTTGCATCAATTTTGCATCAATATTTATCACATGGTAGAGTTCAGCAGTGCAGCCATCGGGTCCCAAGCTTTTCTTTACTGGGAGAGTTTACTAAGGCTTCAGTTGTGTTACTCGTTACTGGTCCGTTCAGGTTTTGGATTTCTTTATGGTTTAATCTTGGTAGGTTGTATGTGTCTAGGAATTTATCCATTACCTCTAGATTTTTCAATTTGTTGGCATATAGTTGCTCATAGTAGCCACTAATGAGCCTTTGAATTTATCTGGTATTAATTGTAATATCTCCTTTCTCATTTCTGATTTTACTTATTTGGGTCTTCTCCCTTTTTTCTTCATTAGTCTGGCTCAAGATTTGTCAATTTTGTTTACCTTTTCAATAAACCAACTTTTCGTTTTGTTGACTTTTTGTATGTTTTCTTTATTACAAAGTCATTTATTTCTGCTCTGATCTTTATTATTTCTTTCTTCCACTAATTTTGGGTTCGATTTGCTCCTGCTTGTCTAGGTCTTTAAGTTGCATTGTTAGGTGATTTATTTGAAGTTTTTTTCTTTTTTGATAGAAGCACCTACAGCTGTAAATTTCTCTCTTAGTACTAGTTTTGCTGTATCCCATAGGTTTTGGTATGTGGTTTTTCTTTCATTTTTTGAAGACATTTTTCAATTTCCTTCTTAATTTCTTCATAGACCCAGTGGTCATTTAGTAGCATATTGTTTAACTTCCATGTGTTTGTATAGCTTCCAAAATTCCTCATTGTTGATTTCTAGTCTCATTCCATTGTGGTCAGAGAAGATGCTTGATATTATTTCATTGTTACTGAATTTTTAAGACTGCTTTTGTGACCTACTGTGTGGTCTATCTTTGATAATAATCTGTGTGCTGAGAAGAAGAATGTGTATTCTACACTCATTGAATTAAATGTCCTGTAAATATTAGATCCATTTATTCTATAGTGCAGATTAAGTCCAATGTTACTACTTTGGTTGAGCTTCTGTCTGGGAGATCTGCCCAATGTTGAAAGTGGGGTTGTTGAAGGCTCCTGCTGTTATTGTATTGAGGTCTTTCTCTCTCCTGAGCTCGAATAATATTTGCTTTATATATCTGTACTCCAGTGTTGTATATATATTTGCTTTATATATATATACTCCAGTGTTGAGTGCATATATAATTGTTATATCCTGTTGCTGAATTGACCCTTTTGTCATTATATAATGACCTTCTTTGTCTCTTCTTACAGTTTTTGTCCTGATATCGATTTGGTCTGATATAAGTAGAGCTAGTCCAGCTATGTTTGGGTTTCCATTGGCATGGAATATCTTTTTCCATCCCTTTATTTCCAGTCTGTGTGTAGCTTTATAGGTGAAGAGTGCTTCTTGAGGTCAACACAAAATTGGGTCTTATTTTTTCATCCATTCAGACACTGTATCTATTTTTCTTTTCTTTTCTTCTCTCTCTTTTTTTTCTATCTTTCTTTCTTTTCTTTTCTTTCTTGAGACAGCATCTCACTCTGTTGCCCAGGCTGGAGTGCTGTGACAGGATCTCAGTTCGCTGCAACCTCCGCCTCCTGGGTTCAAGAGATTCTTGTGCCTTAGCCCCCCAAGAGGCTGAGATTACAGTCACCCACAATCACGCGTGGCTAATTTTTGTATTTTTAGTAGAGTTGGGGTTTCATGATGTTGGCCAGGCTGGTCTCGAACTCCTGACCTCAAGTGATCCACCTACTTCGGCCTCCCAAAGTGCTAGGATTACAGGCGTGAGCCACCATGCCTGGTCGAGACACTGTATCTCTCTTGATTGGAGAGTGTTGTCCAGGAGCTGAGCCTAGAAATGGGTCCTCACAACACTGTCCAGTGCCCTATCCTACTGTGACTAAGCTGGTATCCAAGATGCAAGACAGAATCCTCTTTACTTTTCACTCTCCTCTCCTTAAGCAAAAGTAAGGAGTCACTTTTGTTACTGTGGGCTGCACTGCTTGAGGTGGGGGAGGAATGGTGCAAGCACTCCCTTAGCCATGCCAGCTGGTGTCTCCCTAGGTCACATGCCACCCTAGTCCTCTAGCTCTTAGCCCAGGCTATGACTAGAAGTTATCTAGGAATTGCAGTTCGTGTGTCCCAGACTGCCTCTCAGGTTTACCTGGGACTCCAGAGCACTTTGGCCCACAATGGTGAGGCTTGCCAAGAAACTTGAGTTCTGACTGCTGGGATGGGCGATTCCCTTCTGGCTGGGGCTAGTTCAAATATTCCCTCCGTGCACAGGCACTGACTGAGGCCAGCATGGCTTTTTTCTCTACTGTGACAGCACAGCAGTTAGTTCAATGTAAAGTCCCCCAGTAGCTGTACTGTCCCTTCCAAAAGTGCAAAGATTCCCTCTCTGCACTGCACGTCCAGTGCTGGGTGATTGGGAAGGTGTGGTGTTGGTGATTCAAGACTGTGTCTCCTGCCTTTCCTCAATGCCTCTTTTAGCAAGATGAAGTTAAAACCAGGTACCATGATTCCGTACCTGGTTTTTGGTTCTGGTGACAGTGCTTTTCTGTCTGCTCATAGTTGTTACAATTTGATGTTTCAGTGAGGGAGATTAGTTATATAGGCTTCTATTCTGACATCTTGCACCACTCCGTCTCACTTTTTTGAATTGTTGAAACCATGGTTTATGGGGAAATGTTCTGTTCTGGTTTTTACCCTCAAGATCTTCTTTGAAAATCATGATTTACTAAGTAACTAGTTGGATAGAATTCATTTTTAAGAAAATAATGAATAAGTAGTTCCCTTAGATATAGCAAGCAATGTTCTTATAAACTGACACACCAAAACACTTACCAGTTCACCTAAACACTGAAAGTATTTAAAAATTTATTTTTAACCTTTAAGTTTTTCTCCATTTGAGTATCTTGTGCACTATACGCTCTCCTACATATGTCTACAATCTTTGGTCTGATTTATTTTATTGGTTGTTGAATGTCAGAAACCACCTGAATTTTGCTTGTATATATAATGCCCAGTAGAGTGCACATTGGTAATCAATACGACTTGATGATAATAATGGTAATGAACACTATAATTTGATAGCATCAACTTGGCATGTATGCCAGAAATAAACCATCATAAACTTCGAGAAAAACAAGTCTCATTAATCTGTCATTTATTATAATCTCCCTCCATCAAGCGTAGCCTCTATATACTGTCTTTTTTGCCATATGTAAGTTTCTTCTTGTATATTTCAGATTAGAGCTTGCCTCCTCCCACACACTATCTTCTATTTCACACTGCTCTGTTCAAGTGTTTATGTTTCTGCTGAAGGCTGTATAATCTAAGATAATCCCTAGCTATTGTAAATATCATTCACTGGCCAGTCATTGCATTTTGCACACCACTGAGAGAGTGATTGTGAGCCAAATAGAGGAGATTTTGTTTCCACCCAGCAACCCAAAATGAATTGTGTGATTTGACTATTGATGCCAATTACATGGAAGTTTTACTACCAGAGGCAAAGCTTTAAACTGCAAAAGATTAACCCCATATAGTTGGTGTCATGAGGTATTTAATGTATATTGGACTATCAAAGCGTCTCCTTACAACAAACCAATTATCAATGAATAATATTCTTATCTTATTGTGACTTATTGAAACTCTTTAAAAAACATGAACCATTCAGCACACTATACCGTCTAAATTAGATATCTAAACTAGCCTTCATTTACATTTCCTTGTTTAGTTTTAAATATAATTTCTTCTGAATTCTTAGTTGTTAAGAGCAGGTGGTGAAAGAATTTAAAGAAGAAAATTTGTTGTATTTATTAAGTGAAAGAGCTTTTTGAAATGCATTAAATAGAAGTTTGTTTCTGCCCATCAGCTTATCTTCTGCATATTCCTATTTATAGTTCAAAGCACTTAAGAGTTGCAGAGTGATTTGCTTTTTATGATCACCGCTTCATCCAGGATCATTTGCCTTATATCTTCAACATTTTCAGATTCTTATAAATCTTCACAGTTCACTTAGAGGTTAGTTTAAAACTTTCTTCAGATAAGAAATTGACTAGATATAAAATTCACATAATCTCAGAGTTAGCCATAGATCAATATCCCCAGTCTTTTTCTCAAAGTAATTGAACATTTTTGTTTCCCAGGATAGTTGTATACAAGCATTTTCATCCTCACCATAGATGATTCTTGTTCTTCAGTATATGAGGGGACTGTATTTGCCTGCTTGTTATCTAAATAAACATTTTTATTATTGTCAAAGGAAAAAGACTCTAATACAGAAAGAAATTTTGTGTCCATAGGACTAGCCTCATTTTGGAGGCTGATATTAATATTTGACTTTATTCATTGTGTATTTCTTGGTTTTGTCATTTCACAAATTTCCCTTCTCTAAATATGCATTTTTTCTCTACCTGGAATAGATGAGTTTTAAAAGACATTACTGTAAAATAAAACTGTGCTAAATGTACTTTTCCCAGAAACTCTCTTTATTTTATCAATTATAATTTGCTTTGGCTAAGTGTTACAGAAGCTCAAGGTAGAAATGACTTAAATAAAAGAGAAGCCTATTTCTTTCTCCTGAAAAACCCTGGAAGTTTGCAGCCAAGGCAGATATGTTGGCCCCGCTCATTTCTGTTTTCTACTGAGTGAGTTATCTTTACTTGGTGGAATTTCATCCACATGTTGCAAGATGGAGCTCTCATGACATCCACATTCCAAGAAGGATGTAAGAAGGCCAGAAGAAGGGTCAAAGGGTGCATACCAATTGTCTTTTAGGGAAGTTTCGTGGGAGCTGCCATGTTATATTTCCACTTACGCTTCATTGGCCAGATGTCTGTCACATGGCCACATCTAAGCTGCAAGTGGGGCTGGGAAATGTGTTTATTTCACATGTGCTCTGCTAAAAACTGTTCAGTCATGAAAAAAAAAAAAAGAATATTGGAAGAGAACTAACAGTCTTCAACATGTATATTTAAAAAGAGCGTTATTTTTCTTTTACTTATTTATTTTTTTTTGAGTGAGAGTGTTGCTGGGGCTGGTCTCAAACTCCCTGGATGAAGTAATCCTCCCACCTCAGCCTTCTGAGAAGATGGGATTACAGAGGCACACCACTGCACCCGGCTCCTGTTTTGTTTTGTTTTGTTTTGTTTTATTTAAGGAGCCCTAAGAAGAGTGTAAAAAGGGCAACTTTGTCTTTAGTTAACCCTTCCCTTTTTTTTTCTTTCCTAATTTTATGAACTCTGATTCAGCCCGCATCTTACTCTGGCTTACTAAATTCTGCCAATATAAGAGTAGAAGTTTTCATCATTTCCCTAGGTACCTACTCTTCTGTTTCTCCATATTCTCAAAGTAATTTCTCATTCATCAACTTTTGTCTGACTTAGATTTAAGCTACTGCTTAGGAAATGTGAGAAATGGAGAATTTGGTTGTCATAGCGCTCCTACTTAGAGGGCTAATGCTTTCCTAAATTTTACTAAAGTTGGATCCTAAGTTATATAAGTTACCTAAATTTAATTAGCAAGTTTTGCTTACTAATTCACTGACTAACCACTATAAAACAAGGACCTAAGTTTAAAGCTGATATTATGACAATGTACTGAAATTTCAAGACATTACTTTTTCTGGACACGTAGGATGGACCTTGCATAAGATAAAAGAGCTTATTTTTAGGCACACCTATGTGCCAGGCATGGGTTCAGAGCCTTACATATATCATTTCATTCTCAAGAGAACCTTAATTTTAGAGACGAATAATTTTGAGTTTTAGAATAAATAATTGTCTTAAGCTCACACATGAAGTATGTGCCAGAGTCTATATCGTGACCCCAGTTATGAATTCTTTTCCACTACATAGCCTGCCTCCATGGCATTTCACATAGGATTTCTTATGCTCAAGGATTATGTTCTTCCTTCCAGATCTATAGACATCAGTAGAAACAACACAAATACGTATAATGACTTTTTAAAGTCTCATATACAAGACCAAAGTACTTTAAAAAGATGTTTAAATTTTTGAAGGTGATATCTTTATGTTCGAGATCAGTAGCAGAAATGGATTGTAATTCATTACAAGATGCTTAGCAAAGCCAAGTGGTAAAGGATTTTCTGATGTGCTTGAGGAGTCCTGACTTGCTCCTTAGCAAATTCCTACACACCATTCAGCATTCAGTGCAAATACCACCTCTTGGAATCCTTCTCTGTTCTTGATCAATTATTCCATTGTCTGGATTCATAGAACTCTCTGTTTACCTATTTATCTTACAGGTTATTATCATGAGTTTATATGTCTTACATAGCTGTTTGCAACATGTTACCATTCAGTGGAGTACTTTTTCCTACAGGGAAGAGGCTGTACTATATACCTTTTGTCACCCCTAAGTGGAATGCAGTATGGTTTCATGTTAGATGTTCAATACATGTTAATATTTTATTGATGAGCCCTTAAATGTATATAATAAGCTTCTCACTCAAAAGCTGTAATATTCTAGAATGAATAAGTTTCTTGAGAAACTCTTTGGTTAACAGAATCTCCATTTCCATCATAGTGTATTCAATAAATTATTAATGCAGGGTAAATTTCCTTATATTTCCTTTCATTTCGCTATACTAAGGTCAAATCATGACTTTTAGGTGTGGATACAGCAATATATAAAATAATCTAAGACCTGGATATATGTTTTTCTAATTAGGGAATTGGAGATACATGAACAGTCTCTCATAGAGAAAAATATATCCATTAGTCACTAAAGTCAGTATAACATTCTGGTGAAAGGTTTGCTTGCTTGCTTGTCTGCTTACTTGCTTGTTTCACCTTCTATTCTAGGAGGATGTTTGTCACAATTATGAAATTCTAACGCTTTAAAAATCTGTTTACCCTATGAAAGTTGCAAATTCTTGCCTGTAAGGCAATTTTCACAAGAATTATTTTCATATTAGTTTTAGTTTATCCGTGGATAGTCTCAAATTCCTCTTGAAAATATCAGTGTTCTCAAGGGAAAACTGCCCATTACAAGCCACAGATGTGGTTTTTTGAGAGATTTCTGCCTGAAATACAAGTTTTAAAATATTCTTTGTAGTTTCCTAGTATGGCTAGATACTTGTAGGAAATGACAATTTAGATGCACATTTGAAAATTCTTAGCCTTTGAGTAATTTATATGTTTGAATAAATTTAAACTATCTTTGTTCATAAAAAGGCAAATTTTGTCTGTTTGTCTTGAAATGCTTTTTTAGTTTCTTCTTCAGTTCTTTCACTTGTCTTTCTGTAATATTCAAAATTATAGCATAGTACTTGAAAACCAAGGATGGTCCAGTCTGTGTCCTTTGTTTTGAAGGAATTTTGGAATCATCAGAGATATAATTCTGGAATTTCTTTGGGTACCTTCCATAAAATAGTAGCATCCTGATAAGGACGTAGATGCTAACTTTTATTTTTATCTCATTTTCTTTCCCCTATCTCTCAGTAATGTAGGAGTGACCCAAGGTAGCTGTTTATTGGGCCCTCACCAAAGTCAATCAATATTAGTCAGCTACAACCACAATAATGCTGTGTGACAAGCATACCCCAAAAGAACAATAAGCACTTATCCTCATATTCACAGGCCTACTTTGAGTAATCTCTGATTCAGAATCTGACTGTAGGTTGACCAAACATGTCTGATCTATGTGTCTCATTCTGGGGCTCAAGCTGGAATGGCAGTAGATATTTGGGGCACATTCCTCCATGGCTGAGTTCTAAAGATCTCAGAAGGGTAAGCAGAAACACATGATGGTTCTTAAGACCCAGATTTATAACTAGCGTTCTCTCTTCCATCCATAGTCAATTGTCAAAGCAAGTCACGTGGCATATCCAAAGATCAGGGATAGAGAAATACACTTGGCAGTTAGTGAACCCATTTCAAGAGTGTGGGTGTATAACACTACTACAAAACAGAACTGAGACTTGCAACTTGAAATACCACACCATTCTAGTAGAATTTTATTACAGTATTAATTAAACATTTTTGATAAAACACAGACAACTCTGTTAGAAAGCCCAACTTACAATTTGTTGATCCCACTTGGAAAGGTATTCTGAATCCATTTTTTCACAAGTTTTCTTTCTAATTCAATGTGTTGGGGTACTTTTATTTTACCCAGAAAAGTAATATTATAAAGCATAAAGTTAATGCCCCCTGTAAAAATAGAATACTGAAACAAACTTTAAGTCACAATTTTATTATTTACTGACTTGAGAATCTCCTTGTGCTTCAGCACACTTGGTAGTTGGATTTCCAAATAGCATCATGACTTTCCATACCCAGCTGTCTGCTGCTCAAAACTACCATAAGCTGACTATCACAGCTCACAGGATACCCTTGAAGAAGACCATCTGGTTTATGTCTCTTGGCAAAATTTGTTTAAAAACAAGCAGCTGCATGACAAAGTAAGAAAGAGTCTCTGTCTAGCTGTGGTAAATAAGTAGCTTTGCAATACTCATAATAAAGCATTTTTCTAATCCAAGCCAACATCTTCAAAAGGAAAGCATTATTTTCTTACAACTGAAAGAAAAATCTACAGAATTCAGTGATGAGGGAAGGACTCCATTAAATTTGTTTCAGCAGCTTGAGATAGTGAGAAAAACAAAACAAAATAAAAACCTGTTTGTGATTAGATACAGTCTTGTAATAACTAGTTTTAAAAGTATTTATTTAGAATCTAATACTTGGATATTATTTTAATTCTTTATATTAAGAGATTTACATTTCATAAAAGCTTGTCCTTTGAACCCTAATACTCATATTGTGATGGTGAGCCGGAATGAGTAAGGTCACTTACTATATAGTCGGTATATAATAATTCGTTGAATAACTCTCTCTCCTCCTGTTACTGGCAGTGAATCCATACGGGTCTTCAGCAACCTTAATTCATGCCTCCTCAGAAGAAAGAATTCGACCAAGGAGGCATAAGGCAGAAGAAGAGACTGAGGCAAGTGTTAGAGCAGGAATGAAAGTTTATTTAAAAACTTTAGAGCAGAAATGAAAGGAAATAAAGTACATCTGGAAGGGGGCCAAGTGGGCGACTTGAGATATTAAGTGTCCTGTTTGAACTTTGATTTATGGTTTTGTATTTTGGCATACTTCCATGGTCTTATATACCTTCTCCCCAATTCTTCCCTTGGGGTAGGGGGCTATCTGCATGCACAGTGGTCTGCTGACACTTGGGAGGGGAGCATGCACGGTGTATTTACTGGAGTTGTATTCAAGAGGTGTTCCCTTACCAGTCAAGTGTTTCCAGAGGAAGGTCGTATACCAGTTACACTATGACATTTTGCCTCTTAGTGCGCACGCGGGAGCCCATTTGCCCAACTCCTGCGATCTTATCGGGAAGCTGCTGATCACCAATTTCAGGTGTTTTTATCTATTGGGAGACTGCCTTTCCCTGGTATTGGCTGTGACCAATTATTATTTTAAAGACACAGTTTAATAACCACCTGACTGACCATCACTTGATGGTTGCCTGACATTCCTGGTTGGGGTGGCGGGGGTGGGGGGTCTCCTACCCTGCTCATATCTGACTAGCTATCTACTGTAACACTACTATTAGGTATGTCTGTATCCCATTACACTCACTCTCTATTACAAAAAAGAGTACCTTATTCATTTTTCAAAAGAATGAGTGAATTTTCTGCTCCAGTTAAGTGCTTTTCCTTACCTCTATGTAGAGTGTCAAACTAGCCATGCTTAAGGATTGATTCTGGTATTAATAATATAAATTCTTGCATTATGAGTGTCTCAGTTTGGGTTCTTACATAAGCAAATCCTGAGACAAGGATGTGAGTTCAAATAGTTTCTTTGGGCAGTGATTCTAGGAAGCTGTGGTAGGATGTTGGAGTTGTGAGAAAGTTAAGAGAAAGCAACCTGTAAAGAGTATGTTATCAAGCCAAACACCACTGTGAGAACTAGGGCTTAATTCCCTGGAGAAAGTCTGGGAAGGCATAAAACACTTGTCTCAGAGTTATCTTAGACAAGGTGCAGGAGCTGAGGTGTTTATATTTCAACTCTTGTTAGTCACTTTTAAAGGGCCGCTCAGGGTGTCAGGGTATTAATTTCCTCTTGCAACTACTTCCAACCTGTTTTTGCATGTGGTTGTAGCTACTTTTTCTGCGTCAAAGATAGACTTTAGGCTAAGACATGCAGTTTCCGGCTGTAGGACATCAACCAGAGTACCCTGGAGTGTCCAGGCCCAAGATAATGGGTGAGCTCCACCTGGATCTGTGGCAATGTGAGGGAGGGGCATTATTACCCTAGCAAGGGCCACTGCACTTCCCTATCCAGCTGGTCACTCTTCTGCGTATTTGTGTTACTTTTCTGACTCCTGCATTCCTCTGGATCCTGATTCACCATCAGCTTTTGTATTCTGAGGCTTGTGTGGCTGTGTCTTTCTATTTCTTCCTTATTGACTTACTTGTTTAATCTTTTGCTAATGTATACCTTTGATATTCCTATGTACTCACCTTTGGTTAGCTCTGTGAATTATTGAGTCTTGCTTTACAGCTTTAAAAAGATCATAGCCATGGTTTGTTTTTTAAGTGTGATTCATAACAGTTAGTGACAAAATTAGAAGTGGAAATTAAAGGTCACGTGCACAATCCTACACAAGCCAATTTCTTGAACGACATAAAATACTTGAATTTGTCTTTTACTATCACCAATATAGAAATAATTTGGGGGTATTTCTCAAAGTATTGATTTAACAAAACTTTATTTTTGTGTGAAGATTTTTTCAAGTCTCCTGGAAATTATTCAAATTATTGTCTTTAAAGTCAAAGGAAAGGTTAATATTAGGGTTACTTTTCTTTGGTCACAGAATTGCTGGAGGCTTCTATGACTTGCTTTGAAGCAGCTGACTTTATGCACAGTTTTGGTTAGAAATTCACTACCAATTCCAACATTTTCAAAGTCCTAAAAGACCAAAAGTACAATTCTTGAAATATCCCTAGAGAAAGCAAGAATAAATTAGTTTTCACTAGAAATGAAGACAAATTTTTCTCATTAGTTCATTTTGCCTCATGATCAGAATTCTTTGCCACATGAAAATATTTTGGTTAATAGGTTGTAACATAAAGAGTAATATGAATAGAGATCTAGCCCAATTAGATGACAGAAAAAGAGCAAAGCTTTTGAAATGTATAAAGAAGAAAGTTTAAGAGAGACATGAACAAGGCTGGATGTAGTTTAAGGTTGAAGAACACAGAAAAATGAGATAAGTGAAGTTAAGTGAAAATCCTTCCCTTACTGAGAAGAAAGAGAACTCAAAATTATGTGAAGGTTTTTGTTTTACTTTGTTTTGCTTCTTAATAAGGAAACAACAGTGGCAAATCTGGGGCATTAGGAATGGTGGAACTTCTATAACAGTGATGTTTCAAAGGTCACAAAGGAAATTAAATTGTAGATTGGGTTTAAAAGCACTGGAATTACTTCCAGCCCCATTTTTTCAGGATTTTGTATGTAGCAGGAAATAGATCACCGCATAGCTAAAGGGGAGAATTTAGGTTTTAACTGGTCTCAGTGCAAACTGCTTCATAGTTCCTTTGCATTTGGTGGTGTATGTAAAACATGAAAGGTATAAACATTTATTATCATAACTTTATTATTATACAACTATTTATTGGCTGCATAGGACCATGTGTCTTCTTGCAGGTATAATCAAAAATAAAAAGACAGAAATGTATCTTATATGAAGGCTGCCATTATCGCTCTTATCAATGGCCATAAAATCAGATTTCTTACATGTACAACATATGAAAATATATTAAATATGAAACGTTTTCCATTAAATAATTCTGTAAATGATTTTCATAACATTTCTGTCCATGATGTGTAAATCTGTAGATCAAATACTGCAAGTGTACAGAACTTAAAATGCTTTGGTCAAAAAAATTCTCTTATTAATATGACAATGGCGTTCAAAAGTAAAAAGGTAAAAATACAGTTTAGCATTAATAAGTAAACTCAGAAAGTAAAATATATTGATCATACAGTCTGTATTAGTCTGTTCTCATGCTGCTCTAAAGAACTGCCCAAGACTGAATAATTTATAAAGGACAGAGGTTTAATTGACTCACAGTTCCACATGGCTGGGGAGGCCTCAGGGAAAACTTACAACCATGCCAGAAGGGGAAGCAATCACATCCTTCTTCATATGGTGGCAGAAAGGAGAAGTGCTGAGCAAAGGGGGAAAAGCCCCTTATAAAACCATTGGATCTCATGAGAACTCACTATCACAAGAACAGCACCATGGGGATAACCGCCCCTGTAATTCAATTACCTCCAACTGGGTCCCTCACATGACACATGGGGATTACAGGAACTACAATTCAGAATGAGATTTGGGTGGGGACATAGCCAAACCATATCATTTCATCCCTGGCCCCTCCCAAATGGCACGTCTTCACATTTCAAAACACAATAATGCCTTCCCAACAGTCACTCAAAGTCTTAACTCACTCTAGCATTAACCCAGGAGTCCAAGTCCAAAGTCTCATCTGAGACAAGGCAAGTCACTTCTGCCTAGGAGCCATAAAATCAAAAGCAAGTTAGTTACTTTCTAGGTACAATGGAGGTACCAGCATTGGTTAAATACACCCATTCCAGATGGGAGAAATTGGCCCAAACAAAGGGGCTCCAGGCTCCATGCATGTCAAATCCAATGAGGCAGTAATTAAATCTTAAAGCTCCAAGATAATCTCCTTTGACTCTGTGTCTCACATCCAGGTCACGCTGATGCAAGGTGGGCTCCCACAGCCTTGGGTAGCTCCACTCCTTTGGCGTTGCAGGGTACAGCCCCCTTCCTGGCTGCTTTCACAGGCTAGCATTGAGTGTCTGTGGCTGTTCCATGCACACGGTGGATCAAGCCCTCTTCTCACAGCTCTACTAGGCAGTGCCCCAGTGGGGACTCTATGTGGGGGCTCCAACCCCACATTTCTCTTCTGCACTGACCTAGTAGAGGTTCTCTCTGAGGGCCCCATCTCTGCAGCAAACTTCTGCCTGGATATCTAGACATTTCCATATATCCTCTGAAATCTAGGTAGAAGTTCCCAAAGCTCAGTTCTTGACTTCTGTGTACCCACAGGCTCAACACCACATGGAAGCTGCCAAATCTTGGGGCTTGCACCCTCTGTAGCCATGGGCTGAGCTCTATCTTGGCTCCTTTTAGCCATGGCTGGAGTGGCTGGGATGCAGGGCACCTAGTCCCTAGGCTGCACATAGCAGGGGGGCTCTGGGCCCGGCCCAGGAAACCATTTTGCCTTCCTAGGCCTCTGGTCCTATGATGGGAGGGGCTGCCATGAAAACTTCTGGCATTTCCTGGAGACAATTTTCCCATTGCCTTGGTGATTAACATTTGGCTCCTCGTTACATATGCAAATTTCTGTAGTCAGATTGAATTTCTCCTCAGAAAATGAGTTTTTCTTTTCTATTGCATCTTCAGGCTGCAAATTTTCTGAACTTTTATGCTCTGCTTCCCTTTTAAACATAATTTCCAATTCCAAACCATATCTTTGTGGATACATAAAACTGAATGCTTTTAACAGCACCCAAGTCAAATCTTGAACACTTTGCTGTTTAGAAATTCCTTCCACCAGATGCCCTAAATCATCTCTCTCATGTTCAAAATTCCACAGATCTCTCGGACAGGGGCAAAAAGCCACCAGTCTCTTTGCTAAAGCGTAGCAAAAGTGACCTTTACTACAGTTACCAAGAAGTTTCTCATCTCCCTCTGAGACCACCTCAGTCTGGACTTTATTGTCCATATCACTATCAGCATTTGGGTCAAAGCCATTCAACAAGTCTCTAGGAAGTTCCAAACTTTCCCACATCTTCCTGTCTTCTGACCCCTCCAATTCTCTAGGAAGTTCCAGAGTTTCCCATACTTTCCTGTCTTCTTCTGAGTCCTCCCAACTGTTTCAACCTCTGCCTGTTACCCAGTTCCAAAGTTGCTTCCACATTTTTGGGTTTCTTTATAGCAGTATCCCACTCTCTGTGGTACCAATTTACTGTATTAGTCTGTTCTCATGCTGCTATAAAGAACTACCTGAGACTGGGTAATTTATAAAGGAACGAGGTTTAATTGACTCACTGGTTTGCATGGCTGGGGAGGCCTCAGGAAACTTACAATCACTGTGGAAGCAGAAGCAAACACATCCTTTGTCACATGATGGCAAGAAGGAGAAGTGCCGAGCAAAGGAGGAAAAGCCCCTTATGAAACCATCAGCTCTCATGAGAGCTCACTATCATAAGAACAGCAGCACGGGAGTGACCACCCCCCATGATTCAGTTACCTCCCACTGGATCCCTCCCATGACATCTGGGGATTATGGGAACTGCAATTCAAGACGGGATTTGGGTGGGGACACAGCCAAACCCTATCACTGCCTTTAAGATCTATGAATTGTTTTTCTACATTGAAGAAATTTGTAGACATTTGTTTTTTATTCTCTTTTTGGTTTGCTGAGAGCAGTAGTCTCTTGGAAGTGAGTTTCATTTACATTTTTTCCTTTGGGTGTCAAATATATAAAATATTTTTTAAAATCAATGGCTGAGGGATAAATGAGGGTTGGTAGAAAGGGAAAGGATAAGGGTTGTAGTTAACGGACCATGTTTTAATGTGTCTATAATTAGATGGAAGTTGTCTCTTACCATTCAACATCCTGGATGGCCTTCCTATAGAGGACATTTTCATCTTCTTTTGTCGTCCAGAGCTAGCATATGTGTTTCATGTCTTTAGATAGTGAAAATCAATTCAGATTTTCATGGAAAATGCTCTCTCTTCATCCTAAAGACAGAATTGTCACGGCTATTTCGTTTATTGAAAAGTGAAACCTGCTACAGTTAGCATATAGTTAATTCCATATATGTTACCTGTATCATTTAATACATTCACAAAGTAAAAAACCAAATTTTGCCAAGTTCTTGATAGTAACAATAGTAAAATGGAATTTCTGTTGGCATATTTTCATGTTATTCTGAAATGCTGAATGGATTTATTAAGATTGATAACAATATGTTGTACCTTTATGTTCTAAAATTTAATAACAGTTATTCTTCCAAACATGCCAGCGTCCTCAATAGTTGACAGTCTGCAAAATATTCTATTATGCAATCAGCCATATCTCCTTCTTGAGCTTTCTTTAAGTACTTGTATCCTGTATTTTTCCCTGAAATCTAGCAGTAAGTTGAAGAAATGATAAACAAAATTGTATCATTGTATATAATGGCTATTTATAAATACTGATGTACATTTTCATAATGTTATTTAAATGATTACTTCAGATATGTATTTCTGTTTTCTACATTTTAACTTCTCAACATATTAGGTTGTTATCTTAGATTGGATTTTCTAAGACATAGACTCTAAGACAGAGATTTCCATGCAGATGGTTTCTTAGTGAGTGCTTTTAAGAAAAATGCCTGGGAGGGAGTAAAGGCAGCAGGATTGAGGAGAGAGAGGAGTTGAATGATGATGCAGTGAAATGGAAGATCTTATCTGGTCCCATGTGGGGTTGGGATGACCATTTAGAGTATTACCGTATGAAGCAAGGAAGGTGGACCATTGTATCCCTAATCCATTAGTCATTAGATGTGAGCCTCCCAACTACCAGCTTCCGGGCAATATCATCTTGGTCAAAGAAGTGCCTGTCTGCTGAGAGAAATTTCTTGGAAGAGCTTAGGTATGATCTGTTAGTAGATAACAATCCCAGCAACTGGGAGAATGAATGCTTCATTTGTAATTGGTGAATCTCGGTGGCACACCACAGTGTTCGCTACGGTAATCTTTATACTTATTGAGACATATATTGTTTTTAAGTAAAACTTGTATACCTAGTAATGCATTTAGGTAGTGTATTGGCCAAGCTAGTCCTTTTTGGAAACAATTTCATTGTGGTATAAATGATATACAATAAGCTACACATTTAAATAGTACAATTTGATAAGTTTTGACATATGCAAATACCAGTGAAACTATTAGCACAGTCAAGATAATAAACATATCCAATATCCTCACAAGTCTGTTTTCGGTAATCACTCTCTCCTGCCCCTCCCTTGATTCCCAGGTTACCACTGATGCTGACTGGCATTATAGATAAGTTTGCGTTTTATAGAATTTTATAAAAGTAGAATCATGAAGTATGTACCTTATTTCTGGTCTGCCTTCTTTCACTCACAAACTACTAACTTTCATTTTGTGAATAATATGATCTCCGTGTGATTACACACATTAAGAAAGTCAATAAAAACATTGTAATTTGATTCCGATACTAGTTTATGGGTCTACATTATGTATTTAAAGATACTATCATGTTTGGATTAGCCCTTAGGTATCAAGTAACCCTGGAGTTGAGGCAGTTACTGTTTTATTTGCTATCAATCTTTTTATAAGCTCACCTTCCACTAATTACCCAAAAATATTTGATTTAATACCTGAGTACAGAAAAAGAACATATTCACAATGTTTAAATTTTATAATTTAATATTATAATTTACAACAGTTTAAAATAACTAGTCCTGAAATTGAGTATTTCTCACCTAATATTCTGCTCTATTTATTACCCACTCCACGAAAAAATTTCCCAGAAAAATCACAAACATGTCTCTTGAGTGTATTATTACCCAACCCACAGAAGAATTTCCAAAAACAGTCGCAAACATTCTCTCTTGAGTGCAACCATTTTCTCGGGCCAGCCATTCATTGAAACAAAATAGCCTGTATAACTTCTGTGGGTAGACATTTGTAGGTTGTTCTTTTGAGGCATTAGTGCTATTGCATTTAAGATAAAGAAATAACGAATTCACAAATTTTATAAAGTTCTCTTAAATTTACCAAGTCAATAGCACCACCACTTTGATTCCTATAACCTGTGACTTAGTTAGGCTTCTCAATTCCAAGAACATACCACCATTATTTCTTATAATGTCCTCAGATTAAAACATGTGTTGTCCTTTCTTTATACCTCCCTGCACTTTAATTGAATATTTTGCCATTTACTGGATTCTGTACACTTTTTATGTTTTCATGCCCTCCCTTTTCATTCTCCTGGACATCAATCGCAAGTCAGTAGATACCTTGTAAGAGATCTCTCTCCACCCAAATCACTGTTTCTTTTGAAAGAGTTAACCTTTCTGAAGCAGCACTCCTGCTTCACATTTCCCAGCACAGGAACCTTCAGTGTTTCTCTGTTGATAGCTTTGATTTCAAACGGGTAGCCCCAGGAGAAAAGAGAGCTGAAGGATATGTTTTGCTTGGCTGCTTTGTTTGACCTGCAAGGAACATTAAAAGGCAATGAAACCGGGCAGAGACTGGACTGATCAACACCATCAGTTTAGCACTTATTGCTATACTTTCTAAGGCTTTACAATTTTATGTGTCCCACGTGTCCCCTGAAGGCATTTGATTTTCTAACCTCCTAGGCCAGAGGCTAACATCCAGAATTCATAGTCTGGCACTTATAAACCCTAACTTAGCTTCTGTCACTTGTATCTCTATGCAACTCTACAGCAAAATGTACTTATTTTCTCTAAAATACCCTTATTCCATACTTCTTTGGAGTGTAATTTTATATATAAAAGTCCTCACCACCTGTAAACATTAGGAAGCTTTGATTCGAAGAAGCAGAAGCCATCTCCATTTAACTGAAGTGAAATGAAACTTACTGGAGGGATAATGTATAGTTCTTGGAAATGAAGGAAAAGAAGGCAACTGTGGCAGAGGGAGGGCAGCACTGAGAGTCAGGAACTCCAGGGAAGTTACTTTTTGGATGCTGTCATTAAAATGCTTCAGCTTCAAATTGTACTGACTCTACCTTTCTCAATTCTAGATTCAAATTTCTAAATGTAATTGGCATAAATTAGGAACTTGTCCCACCAGTTTATAGAGTTTACAGAGCACTATGATTATAGGTCCCCCTAAGATCATGCAGAATGAGGGAAGAGTAATTTCATCCAAGGAAAAGCAGGGTACCATTCACCAAAGAGTGGAGATACTTATTCAGAACAATTAATGTTAGATGCCACAAAAAAACTAACCCTGAAATCAAAGTGGCCTAATGAATGCTTATTTATTGCTCATATAAAGTCTGATATAAATCAGGTAGCATTCCTTCACAGTGACTCAGGGACCTAAATTGCTTTCATCTTGTGGCTCTGCCATGTCAACATTGAAACTTCAGAGGTATTGACAAAGGAGAGCTGAGAAATTGACACTAACTATCAAGTACCTCAGGCAAGAAGTGATGCATCACTTCCTACACTTTCCCACTTTCCAGGATTCAATCACAATTGCACTCACGAAACCTCAAGGGAACATGAGAAACATAATGAAATCAATACCAAGATATCCAAAGAGTACTAATTTTCTTCACCACAGAAGGGATATTGGACAGACAAAAAATTTTGGGACAGAGGAATATCCACTAAATGATCCTTCCATGCCCTGCTCAGATGCTACATTTTCCATTAAGGCTCTCTTGACCAACCCATAAGGAGATGATCTCCAACTCCTCTGAACATCTGGAACATTGCATTCTACTTATTTTTACTGTCTCCTATTGTAATAATTGTTGGCTATTCCTTATTAGACAAATTATAAGCTTTTATGGGACGGTGATCAAAAGTCCTAATTTATCTTGTCTTCCTACAGCATTCAAAGCATTGTAGACCTTCAATACATAGCAGTCTTCGAAGCCAGAGTATTAGTATTTTTTCTAAAACTGTATTCATCGCAACGAACTCGATGGATGTTCAATAAAAATGTATTGAATAGTCATTCATGCAGATAGCAAATTTCTTAAAACATTTCTTACTCAATGTTTACTTATATTCATCATGAATATAAATTTAATATAATAATATCAAATCCCATTACATTTAGTACAAAGTAAATATACCAATAATTTTATATATGTTTAAGTGAATTTTTATATTTCATATTATTTGTGAATGATACACATCGTCGTGGAAAATTTACAACGTTGAAGTAAATTATACAATATAGGGTATTTGTATTAAAATACATTTCATAGAAGGTGCTTTAAATTTAAAAAGTTAGCATGAATACATATTAAATGTAAAAGAGTCTTTAAAATGAAAAATATTTCACACTTGTGGGTTTGATCTAAAAATATCAGTCGCTATATGATATGGCTAGACAGATTTGAGTAGGTATAATTTTAATGAATAATATTGTGTGATATTTTAGGGTCCAAAATTGAATGTTTCTATTAAGTAACAGATATTTAAATGCCAAGCAGAAGCTACACTGGCAAAACAAGATTTAGTATGTTATCTTAAGTGTATCCTAAATCCTCTTTCATCTTATGGAGAAGAAATACATGCTTTTAGTTTCCAGCCACTCCTGTCTATATTCATTTAAAATAAACTATTATTTATATCAGATATGATGCCATGTGAGTCCACAATTTGTAGTATAGAGAAATAATTTCATTGAATTATTTTGGCTGTTTGTACCTGAGACCTGATTCTGAATCATTTATTTTTCTATTTAAGTTGTGCTATTTTATGATCCTACCTATGGCTATGTTCAAAACAATGACAAAATATATTTTACCCTGATCTTTTTTTCATTATTATACTTTAAGTTCTGGGACACACGTGCAGAACGGGCAGGTTTGTTGCATAGGTGTACACGTTCCATGGTGGTTTGCTGCACACATCAACCCATCATCTACATTAGGTATTTCTCCTAATGCTATCCCTCCCCTAACCCCCCATCCCCTGAGAGGCCCCGGTGTGTGATGTTCCCCGCCCTGTGTCTATGTGTTCTCATCGTTCAACTCCCACTTATGGGTGAGAATATGTGGTGTTTGGTTTTCTGTTCCTGTGTTAGTTTGCTGAGAATGATGGTTTCCAGCTTCATCCATGTCCGTGCAAAGGACATGAACTCATTCTTTTTTATGGCTGCATAGTATTCCATGGTGTATATGTGCCAATTTTCTTTATCCAGTCTATCATTGATGGGCATTTGGGTTGGTTCCAAGTCTTTGCTATTGTAAATAGTGCTGCAATAAACATACGTGTGCATGTGTCTTTATAGGAGAATGATTTATAATACTTTGGGTATATATGCAGTAATGGGATTGCTGGGTCAAATGGTATTTCTGGTTCTGTATCCTTGAGGAATCGCCACACTGTCTTCCACAATGGTTGAACTAGTTTACAGTCCCACCAACAGTGTAAAAGCGTTCCTTTTTCTCCACATCCTCTCCAGCATCTGTTGTTGCCTGACTTTTGAATGTTCGCCATTCTAACTGGTGTGAGATGGTATCTCATTGTGGTTTTGATTTGCATTCCTCTAATGACCAGTGATAATGAGCTTTTTTTGATATGTTTGCTGGCTGCATAAATGTCTTGTTTTGAGAAGTGTCTGTTCATATCCTTAGCCCACTTTCTGATGGGTTTTTTTTTTTCTTGTAAATTTGTTTAAGTTCCTTATAGATTCCGGGTATTAGCCCTTTGTCAGATGTATAGATTGCAAAAATTTTCTCCCAATCTGTAGTTTGCCTGTTCACTCTCATGATAGTTTCTTTTGCAGTGTAGAAGCTCTTTAGTTTCATTAGATCCCATTTGTCAATTTTGGCTTTTGTTGCTGTTGCTTTTGGTGTTTTAGTCATGCAGTCTTTCCCCGTACTTGTGTCCTGAATGGTATTGCCTAGGTTTTCTTCTAGGGTTTTGATGGTTTTCGGTTTTAGGTTTAAGTCTTTAATGCATCTTGAGTTGATTTTTGTATAAGGGGTAAGGAAGGGGTCCAGTTTCCGTTTTCTGCATATGACTAGCCAGTTTTCCCAACACCATTTATTAAATAGGGAATCCTTTCCCCGTTGCTTGTTTTTGTCAGGTTTGTCAAAGATCAGATGGTTGTAGATGTGTGGCATTATTTTTCTGGCCTCTGTTCTGTTCCATTGGTCTATATATCTGTTTTGCTACCAGTACCAGTCTGTTTTGCTTACTGTAGCCTTGTAGTATAGTTTGAAGTCAGGTAGCATGATGCCTCCAGCTTTGTTCATTTTACTTAGGATTGTCTTGGCTATACAAGCTCTTTTTTGGTTCCATCTGAAATGTAAAGTAATTTTTCCTAATTCTGTAAAGAAAGTCAGTGGTAGCCTGTTGGGGATAGCATTGAATCTGTAAATTAATTTGGACAGTATGGCCATTTTCACTCCACTGATTCTTCCTAACCACGAGCATGAAATGTTTTTTCCATTTGTTTGCGTCCTTTCGTATTTTCTTGAACAGTGGTTTGTAGTTCTCCTTGAAGAGGTCCTTCACATCCCTTGTAAGTTGTATTCCTAGGCACTTTATTCTCTTTGTAGCAATTGTGAATAGGAGTTCACCCACGATTTGGCTCTCTGTTTGTCTATTCTTGGTGTATAGGAATGCTTGTGATCTTTTCACTTTGATTTTGTATTCTGAGACTTGGCTGAAGTTGCTCGTAATGTTAGGGGCAGCCAGAGAGAAAGGCTGGGTTACCCACAAAGGGAAGCCCATCAGACTAACAGTGGATCACTCTGCAGAAACCCTACAAGCTAGAAGAGAGTGGGTGCCAATATTCAACACTCTTCAATAAGGGAATTTTCAACCCAGAATTTCATATCCAGCCAAACTAAGTTTCATAAGCAAAGGAGAAATAAAATCCTTTACAGACAAGCAAATGCTGAGTGATTTTGTCACCACCAGGCCTGGCTTACAAGAGCTCCTGAAGGAATCACTAAACATGGAAAGGAAAAACCGGTACCAGCCACTGAGAGAAACATACCAAATTGTAAAGACCATCGACCCTATGAAGAAACTGCCTCAACTAACAGGCAAAATAACTAACCAACATCATAATTACAGGATCACATTCACACATGACAATATTAACTTTAAATGTAAATGGGCTAAATGCCCCAATTAAAAGACACAGACTGGCAAATTGGATAAAGAGTCAGGACCATCAGTGTGGTGTATTCAGGAGACCCATCTCACATGCAAACACACACATAGGCTCAAAGCAAAGGGATGGCGGAATATTTTCCAAGCAAATGGAAAGCAAAAAAATAAAAAATTAAAAAAAATAAAAAAAAAAACAGGGGTTACAATCCTAGTCTCTGATAAAACAGACTTTAAACCAACAAAGATCAAGAAAGACAAAGAAGGGTATTACATTACATAATGGTAAAGGGAGCAACGCAACAAGAAGAACTAACTATTCTAAATATATATGCACCCAATACAGGAGCACCCAGATTCGTAAAGCAAGTTCCTAGAGACCTACAAAGAGACTTACACTCCTACACAGTAATAGTGAGAGACTTTTATACTCCACTGTCAATATTAGATTAACGAGACAGAAAATTACCCTGATCTTTAACATTCCAGGCAAGTATGTTTTCAGTCATACATAGTACGTGAATCTGTTATATTTTAAATCCAAGCTTTTGGAGGACAAATGATTTCACAGTTATACAACTCAGCCTCTCCCAGACTCAAGTCTCTCACTTGATGCAGTATTCCCACCCCATCTTCAATAAAAGAAGAAAGCATGAAACATCGCATTGATATAGGGAAAGTATATCTGAGTTTTCTATATAGCATATAAAGAAGTAAAATAACTCTGTGATTTGTGATGAGATAGATTTAGCTGCAACAATGAGGTCTGGATATTAATATTGGATTAACTTCCTTTGAGATTGCAACTTCCATGTGGCATTCAGCACTTTCCTTGTTTTCTCATATGTAGGCCGAGAATAAAATTATCCTGTTTCTATTTCCCAACATGAAAGGTCTTTTAACTGTTTGAAGACATATGTTTCATGTGAAACCAAGGAATTGCTACTGCAATTTTGTAAGACAGAAGTTAGCAAACTTATTCTGTAAGGAACAAGATAGTAAATATTATAGGCTTTGCGGGCCATATGGTCTATCTCACAACTATTAAACTCTGCCATTTTTTTTTTTTTTTGCAAAAGCAACCATAGACAATATGTAAATGAATGAGTGTGATTATATTCCAATAAAACTTTATTTTTAAACTACAAGACTAGTTCTTAAAATAAAATTTAACAAAGAACTATTATATGATCCAATAATTCCACTTCTGGGTATATACCCAAAATAATTGAAAACAGGTATTCACACAGATATTTGTACACCCAAGTTCATAGCAGCATATTTTACTGTAGAGAAAAGGTAGAAACAAATGTACACTGTGTACACTGACCAAGAATGGAGAAACAAAACGTGGTGTATCCATACAGCAGAACAGTATTCTGCTTTAAAAAGGAATGAAATTCTGTCACATCCTAAAATAGGGATGAACTTTGGAGATATTCCACCTAGAGTAGTTAAATTCTTAGACAAATAGTTGCATGGTTGCCAGGGACCAGGGAGGGGTAGGGGAAATGAGCAGTTCTTGTGTCATTGGTATAGAGTTTCAGTTTAGAAAGATGAAGAGTTTTGGAGATAGATGGTGGTGATGTTTACATATCCATGTGAATGTATCTAATGCCACTGAACTGTATACACTTACAATGGTTGAAATATTTTGTATATTTTCCCACAGTTAAAAAAGACAAGCCCATGTGCCCAAATTGCTGATATAAATCTGTATTCCTATTAGTGAGCAGTAATGAGCCATGTTTAGTGCAGCTGATATGGTTAAGATGGAACAATTGCATGTAATGCAATGGTGGGTAACATCTAATAAAAATTGGTACTCACCAATTTCCATTTCCATTGTGGATATAAACACCCTTCACATTATGAATCATGTTATTTGTTATTTGTGTACTTACTTATTAAATCACTTTTCTCCATCTCTCTCACCTCTATGACTCTGTACATGTACAAACAACATACACACTGTGAACTTCTTTAGAATGACAGTTACATTTTCGTTACTTGATTCATTGTTTGGCCAAGTAGATACCCAGTAAGCATAACTAGCAAGTGAATAATGTATATGTGATCATTTTCCTTTTCAAAAACCACTTCTTATCTCTACCACACCACCACACATTATTATATGCTACACTTCTTATATAAAACAAAAAAGAATAGGCCAGGTGTGGTGGCTCTCGCCTGTAATCCCAGCAATTTGAGAGGCCGAGGTGGGCAGATCACTTGAGGCCAGGAGTTAGAGTCCAGCCCAGCCAACATGGTGAAACCCCATCTCTGCTAAAAATACAAAAATTGGCCAGGCGTGTTGGCGCATGCTTGTAATCCCAGCTACTTGGGAGGCTGAGGCAGGAGAATCACTGGAACCCAGGAGGCGGAGGTTGCAGTGAGCTAAGATCATGCCACTGCCCTCCAGCCTGGGCAACAGAGCAAGACTCTGTCTCAAAAACAAACAAAGAATAAATAAGCTTTAATAAACTCTTTTGCAGAAGAGTTTTCATTTTTAAACATAGAGGAAAAAGAAGATGAGGATGAACGATAGTGATGCCCAGAAGAGAAAATTGTGTAAGACAAAATCAATTGACCAGGCGTGGTGGCTCACGCCTGTAATCGCAGCACTTTGGGAGGCTGAGACGGGCAGATTATGAGGTCAGGAGTTCGAAAACAGCCTAGCCAATATGGTGAAACCCTGTCTCTACTAAAAATACAAAAATTAGCCGGGCTTGGTGGTGCACGCCTATAGTCCCAGCTACTTGGGAGGCTGAGGCAGAAGAATCTCCTGAACCCAGCAGGCGGAGGTTGCAGTGAGCCAAGATCACGCCACTGCACTCCAGCCTGGGTGACAGAGCGAGACTACATCTCAAAAAAAAAAAAAAAAGATTAAATCAATTTTAGATTGATATAGAGATAAATAATTCCCTAAGTACAATTAAAGCAAGGATCAGACCCTGATGAGTAAGGATGATCTAACAAAGGGCTGACAATATAAAGTGAATGCGATTGTCACCAAATAAACATCTCCCAAGAGCTTTGGGACAATCTTCAGCTAAGCATATTCTGCACTTTACATCGTTCTGCCATATGCCCTATGTAGCTTTTCATCCTCCAGAAATTTGAATAGCACACAGTATTTTTTGGCACCGAGTAATTGTGGAACTTAAACTTCCTACAAAGAGAGAAGCTGTTTCAGTCAGCTAAGTGACCAGTTAGTAAGCAACTTCTATTCTCTTAGTGTCGATAGGGTTAAAGACAGTCATAAGCTCCCCAAACCCTTGGCCGCCTCAATTTTTTCATTTAAATACTTATCTTCTTATCTTCATCTATTTTTTAGAGTCACACATAAACTCTGTCTATGAGGTTCTTAAAGACCTGGACAATATATTTAATCTCTGTATCCTTAAATCTCACCATGATATCTCAAAGATGGTAGATAAAACTGTTTTCCCTCACTTCTCTGACTCCATACCAATACTTAATCGATCGGGAAAGTTTTATAAACCATTTACCGTTGAATATAAATATATATACACACACAAACATATATATATTTATATATATTTATGTATATATATATTTATATATCTATATATATTTATGTATATATTTATATATATTTATATATATTTTTATATATTTATATATTTATATATATTTATATATTTATATATATTTATATATATTTATATACTTATATATATTTATATATATATTTATATATATTTATATATATTTATATATATTTATATATTTATATATATTTATATATATATTTATATATTTATATATATTTATATATTTATATATATTTATATATATATTTATATATTTATATATATATATTTATATATTTGTATTTATATATATTTATATATACACATATTTATATATTTATTTATATATGTTTATATATATATATATATGGCACTATATATCAGTGAGCAAAGGCATCATAATCTTTATTTTTATTTCTGTATTCATTTATTCAACATATAGTAATTCTGATCCTGTCTCAAAAACTCTACAGAAATTAACAAAGAACACATTGTTTCTGCCTTTTTGGAGCTGAATGTTTAGTGGGGGAAAATGTATTTTAAGGCAATAATCATATACATGAGTGTATATTTACAAGCCGCAGTAGGTGCTATGAATGAAAAGTATAAGGAGCTATGAGATATTCTAACAAAAAGAAATGCTGCAGTCTAGAGACTGAGAGTAATTATCTGTGAGGAAAAGTATTGAAGCAGAGACCTGCAACTCAGTAAAGAGTGTAGGGAGTCACATGAACAAAGTCTTGAGATGTTGGTAGAGATCTTGGAATGTTCGAAATTCTAAAAGAAAGCCCTTGTGTATGGGGTATGGTGAGAGAGGGAGAGCGTGGCAAGTTTTACGTTGTACAAGTCATTGTAGGCCACAAAAATAAGTATAGATTTTATCTAAGTGCAACGGAAAACCATTACAAGTTTATTTTTTGATTCTTAAATTTTGTTTTACTTATTTATTTATTTCAAGACACAATCTCACTCTGTTGCCCAGGCTGGAGTGCAGTGACATGATCACGGCTCACTGCAGCCTTGAACTCCTTGGGCTCAAGCAATCCTCCCATATCACCCTCCTACCTCAGCTTCCTGGGTAGCTGGGACTACTACAGGCATTTGCCACTATGCCTGGCTAACTTTAAACAATTATTTTGAAGAGACAGGGTCTTGTTACGTTTCTAAGTTTCTAAGGCTGATCTTGGATTACTGGGCCCAAGCAATCCTCCCGCCTCATCCTCTTAAAATGGTGGGATTACAGATATGAGCCACCTCACCCAGCAAGGTAGTGACATAATCATTGTTTTTGCTGAAAACAATGTACTTTAGGGAACCTCCCTGAAAACAGAATGGCCACTTAGAATACCAAAGCATAGACCAAGCCTTGAGATGGCAATGGAAGTGGAAATAAACATGTCTTTGATACTTATGTTAATGGAGCTATTAGTAGCAACTTTTGACAGATTTGAAAGTGGAGTTGAAAGACAGTGAAGTGTCAGGGATGATCCCTGAGCATATTAGATAATATTGAGCTGGAGAACAGAAAAGAAGGGGCAGATTTGGAGGTGGAGACCTTTCTAGATTTATATTCAATTTGAGATACATCTGAAACATCTACATGAAACGTGGATGAAATATCTGTGACCAAGATACATACGTGGGATACCTAGGCATGTAAATAATATTTAAAGTTATGTGAGTGGGTGCAATAACCTAAAGAGAGACTGTAGGTAGAAGATTGATCAGGACAAATCTTTGAGGAACTTTTTTTTTTAATTATTATTATACTTTACGTTCTGGGATACAGGTGCAGAACGTGCAGGTTTGTTACATAGGTATACACGTGCTATGGTGGTTTGCTGCACCCATCAACCCGTCATCTACATTAGGTATTTCTCCTAATGCTATCCCTACCCTAGCCCCCCACCCCCAACAGGCACCAGTGTGTGTTGTTCCCCTCCCTGTGTCCATGTGTTCTCACTGTTCCACTCCCACTTACGAGTGAGTCCATGCAGTGTTTCATTTTCTGTTCCTGTGTTAGTTTGCTAAGAATGATGGTTTCCAGCTTCATCCATGTCCCTGCAAAGGACATGAAGTCATCCTGTTTTATGAGGTACTTTTAATGCATTTAGTGACTGGGTAAGGAATAACCCTGAAAAGGAGCACAAAAACCATCGAGGTATGAAGAAAGCCAGGAGATGTAGTTTCACAAAGCAGCCAGTGGACAGTAATGGACACCAGCATAAGCTTAAGACAGCAGTGATAGTGTTCATCAGTGCTGAAAACTCATTGGAAGTGGCTGACCATATGTTGATTGCGAATGCAATGCCTTCTCCCATCTCCTATTGCTTTTCACTGTTTCCGTCATGTCCAGAGTGAAAACACTGGGGAGGCAGAACTGTGTACCAAGAAAAATGTTTTGTGTCAGAGGAAACAAGAGCTCATTAATTTCCTTTTGACCCGCATGGATAGGAATACGATAAGCAGGAGAAAAATAAAACCTGCTAAACTAGGCAAATAAAGCTTAATAGAAAAGAGAGAAAATATTGCTTACAAAGGGAAGAAGACATTTGCCACAATATTAGCTAAAAAGAGAGTGAGGAAAATCCACATTTACCATTTTTATTATGTGTTTCCAAAGTCGACATTAAGTGAATATTATCACTTTGAAGACAGAGAATAGATTGTAAGCAGAAGAGGAAGTGGGATTTTTTAAATGGCATATATTTAAATGTTGAAAAACCCATTTCCAATACTCCCACTGAGATATATGCAATAAAAACACTCCGCAATCAGTAATATACATGTGAAGCTCCTAAAAATCCTCCATTGAGAAGATTCTATAAAACTATAAAGTATTATTATTTCTGCTATCAGAAAATAAACACATACTTTCTAAGAACAAGATGAAGACCTTAATTCATCTTCCCAGGAATATACTTGTGTACTTAATGGTTCAAGGCGTTTGTGATGCAAAAAAAGTGGGACATTATGTACAAAATAGTTTTAATCAGAAAATGAAGGAAGTTTGGTATGGTATGGTTCTAGGGTTGCAAGTTTTCCTGCAAAAAGGGAGTACTTATGGCTAGGTGATGCAGCCAAGGAAGCATCTCTGAGGACAGGTTATCCTGGCTCCTATTCCAAAATATTTAGGTCTCCTTGAGTGTTCGATCCTTGAACCAAGGACAAGAATAGAAAGAAATAAAAGCCACTTGTATAAAGGTTGCCTTCATTTTGTGTCGAATATTGACAGGAGAAAGCCAGATTTGTAGCTTTTCCAGGGATAAGTGAGTCTCAGACACAGTTAAGAGCTTGGCTTTGGAATTAGATTGACCTGAGTTTGAATCGTGGCTCCATCAATCTCTGATTGTGTGAATTTTTGGCAAGTTTTAGCTGAACCTCAATTTTCTCATAAGTAAAATAGGCATAATACAGCTATGATTCTGACCCTTGCCATTAGCACTCTGAGCTACTTGTCAGTGTATCCTGGTCTCTTCCTCAAGCACTTTTCCACTTTGTTATTTCAAGATTCTTTGAAATTATGAACAGTAGCTCTTGATCACCAAACAAATGGGAGACCATAGATTCAAAGGAACATTTTAGTAGGATATTTGATAAGCTTTGTATTTTTTTGTGCTTTGAAAATTAGAGTAGATTTAGATTTAAGGAACTATAAAGCTATATGTTTACAAAACTTTATTCAGTTGGGCAGTTCTGACTCAGTAACTGAAATAAAATTGATGAAAACAAAACATATGTTTTACTGTTGTGTTCACATTTAAAGATTATTTAATGCATAACCAAAATAGGTTCAGCAAATGTTTATACATACATGTACTTAGATATTTGTAATTCTTATGGTAGAGCATGGGAATGAATGAGAATTCTCCTAGGCTGGAATAAAACTAATGTCTAACTAAGAATTGGCCTTTCACTTCACGAATATATATCATTATATATAAAAGATTCATCCTTTGTTAACTTATTTGTTTAGCTTAGTACTTTCTAAGTACTTTTCTATCCTGTCTTGGTCCCTATATAAGAATGATACTATTATAAAAATGAACATCCTATTATTTCATAATGATTAGCATATCAGCATATTTAAGAGCAATGCCTATATCTTTACCTTCATTATTATTTTCATGTTTAAAATCCTGATAATTCTAGAAAAACAAGGTTGTAATTATCCATTCATAATAAAAGTCACACCAAGTTATTCTTGATAATTAACTTGGCATAGTGGAGTGCACTGAGCAATTAATAATTAATTACGTGGTTACTAGCTCAAATTTTATTGAGAACCAAGGAGTTAAAATTAATAGTATTGTGTTTGCAATGAGTTAATTACTTTGTTTCTTTGTTTTTTTTTTTGGAATAGTGCCATAATTAGTATCCTAATAGAAACAGAATATAAAGTGGGTTTCTGAGTGCTTGCTTGTCGAGGTGTGTAACAACATATATTTTAATTATAATTTGAGTCACTAATTGTTGTCAAATACAATTTTAATTTCTTAGTTCAGAGATTAAAAGATATGTAAACAGCTCCAAAAAAGAATATGATAAGATGGTTTATACAAGTAAATAAATAACTATATGACTTCAGAAGTTTTATTTAACAACAGTTGTATAAGTGTTTTAACTAATGTTAACAATGCCTTTTTTGTAAATCTCCTCTACCACAAATATGAGATAAATTTAAGAACGGCATTTTCATTAAATATTGATTATTAAAATTCATATATAAGTATTGGCTGTACCTGAGCATTTACAGTGAAACCATGAAGGACTGGCAGGTTTGGGGCTGTTTGATAATATCCTTCCTTAATCTTTCTTCGTAGCATCATTGTTTAATTTTGGCTGACCACAATCACTTATGAAAAGAAACAGCTCAAATAATTAGTATAACCTCTTTCTCTTCATAAAACCTTCAAATCAATGTGGTCATAATTATGAAAGTGTAAGATTATAAAATCTTCTCATTTAAATATACATCTTCATATTAGCAGACTTGGCTAATTTCTTCATTTATCCTTGACATCCACACTTAAACTCTGTCAAACTGGTCATTCATAGACTCATTATTCATTCAACAAAGATTAGTGTGACCCTACTATGATTCTGAGGGCTAGAAATATAAAACTGAATAACATATAAACCCTGATTTCTGTATTTATATATACAGAAAGGAATTATGAACTCACAGTTTTAATGCACAGTGACGAGTCCTCAGTTCATGTCTGCCTTGGGAGCTAGGCATATACCAAAGCAGGACTGTCTAACACAGTTTGGGGGTCTCAGTCTGGAAGGATCCGGGTGAGATGATCCTTGAATTGAGTTCTAAAAAATGAGGAGAAATTATCCAGATAATGGAAAGTTTAGGAGAAATTAACCAGATAATGGAAAGTTTAGGAAAGAAACACTATTTATATGTCAAGGACAAAGTTTGACCAAATGTGTCTCTGAATCTAACTGGCTTTATGTAAGATAAAATTAAAAAATAATTGTCACTAAGGTTTTTCACATCTGCAGCAACTACCATCATATCTGGCTCAATATTTAAAAGAAATACTTAACGATTTTTGGCATTTATTGCTACTATAATAGATTGTGCTATTTAAAGAGAAATTCTAGATACATGCCAAAGTATTTTCAGGTGAAGTAATGTGATTCGTGGGTTTTGTTTTGACAAACTTCCAAGGAAATTATTTTTAATATAAAGAGCAATGGAGGAAGATTAAACAAGATTCGCAAATGTTGATAATTGCTCAAGGTGGTGACAGGTGCATGGGGGTCCATAATATACTGTTCTCTTTACTTATATATGTCTTTGAAGATTTTCATGATGTAAAATTTTAAAATCAGAATTACAGTAATACCTCTTTCTTTGACAATCGTTTTCAAACTTGGTTCAACAACTGAATTTAAATTACCTACATGGCTATAAAAATAAATTAGATATCCTGGTTATTTGGTCTGGGGTGGGTCCTGGCCATATCTGTAGGGTGTGTGGGTGTGTGTGCATTTAGCTTCACATTTGACTCTGAAGTACGTGGAAAACCAATTCTGGGCTCTACATATGCAATTCCAATGCCTGACATTAGGTGGTGCTGGTTGTGAGCCATGATTTCAGGTTTGACTTGTAGAGTTAACAGAAGTGATATCACCACCGATCCCACAGAAATACAAACTACCGTCAGAGAATACTACAAACACCTCTACACAAATAAACTAGAAAATCTAGAAGAAATGGATACATTCCTCGACACATACACTCTCCCAAGACTAAACCAGGAAGAAGTTGAATCTCTGAATAGACCAATAACAGGAGCTGAAATTGTGGCAATAATCAATAGCTTACCAACCAAAAAGAGTCCAGGACCAGATGGATTCACAGCCGAATTCTACCAGAGGTACAAGGAGGAACTGGTACCATTCCTTCTGAAACTATTCCAATCAATAGAAAAAGAGGGAATCCTCCCTAACTCATTTTATGAGGCCAGCATCATTCTGATACCAAAGCCGGGCAGAGACACAACCAAAAAAGAGAATTTTAGACCAATATCCTTGATGAACATTGATGCAAAAATCCTCAATAAAATACTGGCATACCGAATCCAGCAGCACATCAAAAAGCTTATCCACCATGATCAAGTGGGCTTCATCCTTGGGATGCAAGGCTGGTTCAATATACGCAAATCAATAAATGTAATCCAGCATATAAACAGAGCCAAAGACAAAAACCACATGATTATCTCAATAGATGCAGAAAAAGCCTTTGACAAAATTCAACAACCCTTCATGCTAAAAACTCTCAATAAATTAGGTATTGATGGGACATATCTCAAAATAATAAGAGCTATCTATGACAAACCCACAGCCAATATCATACTGAATGGGCAAAAACTGGAAGCATTCCCTTTGAAAACTGGCACAAGACAGGGATGCCCTCTCTCACCGCTCCTATTCAACATAGTGTTGGAAGTTCTGGCCAGGGCAATCAGGCAGGAGAAGGAAATAAAAGGTATTCAGTTAGGAAAAGAGGAAGTCAAATTGTCCCTGTTTGCAGACGACATGATTGTTTATCTAGAAAACCCCATCGTCTCAGCCCAAAATCTCCTTAAGCTGATAAGCAACTTCAGCAAAGTCTCAGGATACAAAATCAATGTACAGAAATCACAAGCATTCTTATACACCAACAACAGACAAACAGAGAGCCAAATCATGAGTGAACTCCCATTCACAATTGCTTCAAAGAGAATAAAATACCTAGGAATCCAACTTACAAGGGATGTGAAGGACCTCTTCAAGGAGAACTACAAACCACTGCTCAAGGAAATAAAAGAGGATACAAACAAATGGAAGAACATTCCATGCTCATGGGTAGGAAGAATCAATATCGTGAAAATGGCCATACTGCCCAAGGTGATTTACAGATTCAATGCCATCCCCATCAAGCTACCAATGCCTTTCTTCACAGAATTGGAAAAAACTACTTTAAAGTTCATATGGAACCAAAAAAGAGCCCGCATCGCCAAGTCAATCCTAAGCCAAAAGAACAAAGCTGGAGGCATCACACTAGCTGACTTCAAACTATACTACAAGGCTACAGTAACCAAAACAGCATGGTACTGGTACCAAAACAGAGATATAGATCAATGGAACAGAACAGAGCCCTCAGAAATAACGCCACATACCTACAACTATCTGATCTTTGACAAACCTGAGGAAAACAAGCAATGGGGAAAGGATTCCCTATTTAATAAATGGTGCTGGGAAGACTGGCTAGCCATATGTAGAAAGCTGAAACTGGATCCCTTCCTTACACCTTATACAAAAATCAATTCAAGATGGATTAAAGATTTAAACATTAGACCTAAAACCATAAAAACCCTAGAAGAAAACCTAGGCATTACCATTCAGGACATAGGCATGGGCAAGGACTTCATGTCCAAAACACCAAAAGCAATGGCAACAAAAGCCAAAATTGACAAATGGGATCTAATTAAACTAAAGAGCTTCTGCACAGCAAAAGAAACTACCATCAGAGTGAACAGGGAACCTACAACATGGGAGAAAATTTTCGCAACCTACTCATCTGACAAAGGGCTAATATCCAGAATCTACAATGAACTCAAACAAATTTACAAGAAAAAAACAAACAACCCCATCAAAAAGTGAGCGAAGGACATGAACAGACACTTCTCAAAAGAAGACATTTATGCAGCCAAAAAACACATGAAAAAATCCTCACCATCACTGGCCATCAGAGTAATGCAAATCAAAACCACTATGAGATATCATCTCACACCAGTTAGAATGGCAATCATTCAAAAGTCAGGAAACAACAGGTGCTGGAGAGGATGTGGAGAAATAGGAACACTTTTACACTGTTGGTGGGACTGTAAACTAGTTCAACCATTGTGGAAGTCAGTGTGGCGATTCCTCAGGGATCTAGAACTAGAAATACCATTTGACCCAGCCATCCCATTACTGGGTATATACCCAAAGGACTATAAATCATGCTGCTATAAAGACACATGCACACGTATGTTTATTGCAGCACTATTCACAATAACAAAGACTTGGAACCAACCCAAATGTCCAACAATGATAGACTGGATTAAGAAAATGTGGCACATATACACCATGGAATACTATGCAGCCAGAAAAAATGATGAGTTCATGTCCTTTGTAGGGACATGGATGAAACTGGAAACCGTCATTCTCAGTAAACTATCGCAAGAACAAAAAACCAAACACTGCATATTCTCACTCATAGGTGGGGTGGGAATTGAACAATGAGATCACATGGACACAGGAAGGGGAATATCACACTCTGGGGACTGTGGTGGGGTGGGGGGAGGGGGGAGGGATAGCATTGGGAGATATACCTAATGCTAGATGACGAGTTAGTGGGTGCAGCGCACCAGCATGGCACATGTATACATATGTAACTAACCTACACAATGTGCACATGTACCCTAAAACTTAAAGTATAATAAAAAAAAAAAAGTTCGTTCCTCTTGTTAGAATTTTCATACAAATGCAAGACTCCTTATTTTCAAAGAGAAAACAAAATTTTATATAAACTAATACCTGAGAAGAATAGGAAAAATTAATGATGTATGGGATAGGTACTGATAAGAACCTCTTCTTTTGTGTACATTGTGATAAACTAATGTTTAACTTGAGTCGATGTGCTGGAAATACTTGTTAAATTTTCAAGAATTTTGAGATCTGTTAAACACAACCATTATCAAAAATTAAATTATGGTAACTTACATTAAATGAAATATATTGTTCACAAATGTACTAGATGCACAAAAGTCATCACTACCTAATTCTTTTATTATATTTCACTATTATCTACGGGTTTGTTACCTGTATAATGGAATGACTGTATAATGGTGTAGTGCTAACTTCATGTTTGGTGACATTATAATGATAGCTTAAAATTAAACATACTGGGAATATTCAAATATGTCCTTCCTCTCAGGGGATCTGATTGTTAGACATTTACCAGCATAGCACTGTCTTAATTAACATCATATAATTGTCTTTTATCCTTAAGATGTTGAGCCAGTAAATATCACAGGAGAGTTTGTTCCTTAGGTTTTAATACTTGCTTTACCAGTTTACTGTAGCATCATGTGAAACCAGCTTCTAGACCAGCTGTCTTTAATTGGTATGTACCCAAGCTAATCCTTGTCAGGCTATCATCAACCCAAGCACTTTTGAAGTTATTTTTATTATTACGCTACAGAAAGATTTTATGGCCTTTTTGCTCTTTTCTTTACCCTAGCCCTAGGATCATATAATTTCATCTCCTATTTATTCCTATTTATTTCCTTATCTAAAATCTTACTTAACTAGCTTGCTTGCCTGCCTGTCTGCCTGTCTGCCTGCTTGCTTGGTTTTTCTTTTTTTCTTTCTTTTCTTTACTTCTGCTTTCCTTTCCTTTCTTTTGTTTCTTCCTTCCTTCCTTCCTTCTTCCTTTCCTTTCCTTCTGTTCCTTTTCCTTTTCCTTTTCCTTTGCGTTCCTTTGCTTTCCTTGCTTTCTTCGCTTGCTTTCTTTTCAGTACCACAAAAAAACTAACAATAACAAAAATATTGCTACAAAAATTGTGACCTCCCAATTCTATCCTCATTTCACGGACCCATAAAATGATTATATATCTATGCCAATGCGTTCTAACTACATGATATTATTATTGATGATAAGAGAATCCAACCCTCAAGAAATGAAGTATTATAATGTTTTAGAACACACAGAAGCATTTTTAACCAAAATGTTCCATGTGATTTTATAGGGTGCATGTTTTACCTTTTCTTATTTGGAAAAGTAGCAAAAGTATTAACAAATAAAATAAGTTACATACTCTTTGTATATAAATCTTTCGTGTACATAATAATGCCATTTCCCTTCTAGTGCTTCCATTATTGAAAAAAAATAGACATATAGCAACGTGCTAGACATTGAAGTTAACTGTTAAAAAGTCATCAGAGGGTAATGTTAAAGGTGGTATTTCAGGTAATAAAGCATATGCAGAATGATTCTATTGGCTTTATTTCCAACATGAGTGTTATTAGTACCAAGGACACTGAAGTTTAAAGGAGGGGAGTGATGAGACTGATCATTACTTTGTCTTCTGTAACAGGACTTAGGTGGCCCAGAGTGATCCTTGTTGGTTGATTGGTTAGTTGAACTTCTATTTTTGTTACTAGGCCTGCAGATCTGTGGAATCTCCAGAGTGCTGTGTAATGTTACATAGGCCACACACCAGACACTGTTCCCTGAAGGACTGAAGGTGGAATTGGAACAATATGTAGACAGTTCTTGTTGCAGTTACCAAGGAAATTTGGTTAGGATTCAGGCCTCCATGTCAGAAAAGGAAGTCTATTTTATGTGCTAGAAAAATAACCCTAATCATCTTATCTTGGGTCTCTCTGGGGAGCATGATGATCTACCTGGTCTTGTAAACTGTATAGAACCGGCTGGGTTGAGACACATATGTCTCATAACAGAGCTTCCACTTAAGGCTATAAAATAGTGGTCCCTCTATTGGGTATATGCCTTATGGAAAAATATACGTTATGCTGGTACCTATTATAAAAACCAATGCAAAATGATTAGAGATTTCTAATCCAAGTGTTATCCTCATCTGCTCCCAAAATACAGCAATGAAAAAATAGAAAATAAAAAAGGATATATTTACAGAACTGTATTTACAGAAATATATGTTGATGACAAGATAATCAAATACATATCAAATCATGATGTGTATTTACAGAAATATATTTACAGAAATGTAAAGCAGAGAATGGGGCGGAAGTCCCTGACAGACTTGACACTGAACCACAAAACAACAGTGGAAGCCAGGAATTTGGATGCTGCGGGATAGTTGGGATTAAAATTGCTTCAAGCAAGGTGTGGAACTGGAGACAAACTCAGTATTCAAAACCAGAGGCTGGGCTGTGGTGCTTGCATTCGTGAAAGAAAACCTGGGGAAAAAGTGCTTCTTCAGGCTGTAGCCTGACGCTATGGCTTGCCTAAACTTATGGGCCTATGTAGGTGTAAGAATAAAGACATAGCCTTGCTGCTGGGAACTGTGTTGCATCTGTTCTCTTGCTTGATGAATGGATTGAAATTATCCCCAGTAACATTGCAGTGCAAGAACTTTAAACCTTAAAGGGGTGGCTGGAGACCACGGGACGCGATGCACATGCAACTACTAAATGCTAGATGAGGATACCTGAGGAGAGAGAACAAGACACAAACGTGAACATGGACCTCCAATAGAAATGACAATCGAAAACATACATTTATCTTCTCTCTCTCCCAAATTGTTCAAAGATTACGCTAAGGGAATAAAAACAATACAGTCATAAAATGACAAATAAAATGGAAGAAGAGACATCTGCACAGACATATCAAGTCAATGAGATGAAAATTAGGACAAGTAAGCCAATTTGTTTTTCAGGATCCCAGAAAAACTTGTGGATTGAAGACGCTAGGTGTTTTAGAAGGCCATATATTCCCGAGAGGGGCTGGAAATAAAGGGGTTGTTTTGAATCCCTTAAAAGGGGCAATTACATTTCATGTCCCCAGCTCAGGGTAGTTAATTAGACACTACTCCTCTCTCATCCCAGCAGACGTGAGTGAGTGGTTTGCTTTCTGGTGAGGCTGAAACAACTTTTGGCATTTGGACAACAGGATTAGTTGATGGAAGAGAGAGCCACCATACTGAAAATACAGGATTAAGTTAAAGTCAACATATTTAATGGTGAGACCAGCAGTCCCTCTTCACCTTCTTGGCTCTTAAGTTTCTATCCTCTGGGCAGTAGATTATAAATTTATTCTCCTGAGAGCCTACCTGCAATACGAAAACTATTTTTAGTCAAGTTTTATTGCTATAACAAAATACCATAGACTGGATGCCTTATAAACAACAGACCTTTATTTCTCACCGTTCTGGAGGCTGGGAAGTTCAAGATCAAGGCACTGGCAGGTTTGGTGTCTGGTGAAAGCTCATTTCCTGTCTTCTCACTGTAACCTCACAAGGCAGCAGGTCCAAGGGAACTGTCTTGGGCCTCTTTTGTAAGGGTACTATTCTCATTCTGGATGGCTTTGGCCTTATGACCTAATTACCTTCCAAAGGCCCCACTTCCTAATGTCATCACCTTGAGGGTGAGGATTTCAACGTATAAATTTTGCAAGAACACACTCAGATCATAGTAACCTACAATTAATGATATGTAATGATCCACCAGTGAAATAGCCAGATCTGTGCCTAATGACCATATATTGAAGCCCACCAAGTATAAGCCCTACATACGCACAAGGAATTTCCAAAAGCATTTAATGCCTCAGTTTTAAGAGACAATCAAGGATTTCCAGATATTTGAACATGTCTCAAAGATGGAAGACAGAAACCAACATAAAAACAAAAAGCAGAAATATTGGGAAAAAAACAATAGCCACATAAATGAAACAGAAATCTCTGCAGAAAGAGAGACAAGGCATAGACCTTAAGAAAACTTTTTAAAGATAGCTATAAAATTATTATCTCACAGTGAGACTAGTCACTGTATTCATAAGAAAGAACAAGAGACTATAGAAGGTGGTATTTCCGAGAAAGATAAGGGTTATTTAAATTAATAGTATAGCAGGTTAAGTTTTTAAATTCTTAATTGTATAAATTTATGGGTTACCAGTGTAATTTTGTTATATGAATATATTTTATAGTGGTGAAGGCAGAGCTTTTAGTATATCCACCACTGGAATAACATACATGGTATGCATAGCAGTTTTAGAGCAATGAAACTACTCTGTGTGATACTATAATGGTGGATACCTTTCATTATATATTTGTCCAAACCCATAGAAGATACAACATCACAAGCAAACTCTAATGTAAACTATGGACTTCGAGTGTTAATGATATATCAATGTATGTAAGTCAGTTATAACAAATGTACCACTCTGGTGTGGGATGTTGATAGCGGGGTAGGCTGTGTGTAATGAGGAAGGGGGCCAGAGAGTATACGGGAAATCTCTGTACTTTCCCCTCGATTTTGCTATAAATGTAAAATTGCTTTAAAAAATCAAGTCTATTAAAAATGAAGAGCAGAAATAAAAGTTCAAAAGTAGAAGATAAATTTGAAGAAATATCTCATAAAGCAGTATAAATAGCCAAAAGCATGGAAAATGGGAGAGTATAAGAATCTTAGAAGATCATTCTAGGTAAGTGTTTCACAAATAGAGGTGATTTTGTCCTGCAGAGGACGTTTGACAATGTACGGAGACCTTTTTCGTTGTCACAAATAAGGAAAGGATGTACTACTGGCCTCTTGTGAAGAGTGACGCAAGAGGAATGCACCATGCAGCCATCCACAACCAAGAATTACTCATTTCAAAGTGTCAATAGTGTTTATGTTTAGAAACCTTGTTCTATGTAATCCAACATTCAAATAATAGATGTTAAAAATAAAACAGAAGAGAGGCAACTGTGGAGAGAAAATTATCAAAGAAGTGACAACATCAGTTTTCTTAGAACTGAAGAAAATGAGTGTCCAGGTTTAAAGGGCTTACTAAATGCCCAGCACAGCAAATGAGCTAAAAATCTACACCAAGGCTCATCATCATAAATTTTTACAAAAACAAGGACAAAGAGAAGTTCACAGATCAGAAATCAGAATGGCTTTGGACTTTTCAGCAATAGCCATGGAAAATAGCAGAAAGGAACACTTCCTTTAAACTTCTAGGAATAATTAACTTTGGCTTTGATTTCATATCCTATATGAAATTATGTTCACAAATTCTGTGATGCTCTTCTATTCAAGAGTTACAGCTAAATGTCCCTGTCATTGAGTGTGGACTAGATTCAGTGACTCTTTTGTGATGATATGTCATTTCCAAGTGTAGGTTGTAGAAAGACTGTGGTTTATGTCTTGTGTTCTCCATCCACGCCTATCTCTCTCTGTGTCTCTCTTTCTCTCTCTCTCTCTCTCTCTCTCTCTCTCATGCATTGCTTCTTCTGTGGGAACACATGTCATGAGCAGCCCTATGGAGATGCACGTATGCTGAGAAACTAAGGCCTCCTGCAAAGAGCCACAAGAATGAGCTTAGAAGTGCATCATTTAACACCAGACAAATCTCGAGAGGCTGCAAGCATAGACAACAGCTTAACTACAACCTCATAAAATAAGCTATGCCAGTCCCACCCTGCTAAGCCACTCTCAGATTCTTGACCTTCAGAAACTGCCAAATAATAAACATTTTTGTTTTTAAGCTGCTAAATTTTGGAATGACTTGTTATTCAACAATATATAAATTGTACACCCTGATAAACTATAAATTGTGCGGAGAAAATAATTTTCAGAGATAGCCTTATGTACTCCCCTAAACCTTTTTTCCCCAGAAATCTATTTTCAAAAATATACTCTACCAAGTGAAGAAAGAAACCAAGAAAGACAAAGAATGTTTAGTTGTGATTGGAGATCAGAAGGAGAGTGTTTTAGGCATGATTCGCCTTGTTATGCTGCAATAATAAGCAATTCCAAAATATTAGTGGCTAGAAACACAAAGGTTGATTTTGTATCTTTGCAACATATCCAACACAAGTCAGTCAAGGGTTCTGATCATTGTAGTCACTCAGGAATCTAAGCTGATTCAGTCTCTAGTATTCTATCATTCTACCGTAACAATAAGAAGCTTTAGCGTTCACCATGTCAGTCAAAAATGCGTGGAAAATTTTAAACTGACTCTTACATGCCTCTATGTAGGAGTGATATATGTCATTTTCATTTCACTTCATCATCCAAAGGAAGTCACGTGGTCATGCCTAACTCTGAGGGGACAGGGGATTATAATCACTAATATTTTTAAGAGAGGTAAGAGAATTAGGAAAATATTGGAGCATTAGTATTACCTGCAAAGCCTAGGATCCGGAAAACAGAGAACCCAACGTGGGAGGAAGATGCAAAGTGGTGCCAGAAAGATGGTGGAGGAGATCCTGTAACAACAGCTGTATAACAGTTGTAGAGAGAAACCTGTACAGATTGGAGAAGAAAATAGTGCTCCAGGAATTTTGTTACCAAGAAAAAAAAAATCTAATGTATTCGAATGTATTGAGAGGTGGTATTCTTATTGTGTAAGAGTATAATATATGACATGTATGACAGACAGAAGTACCATTTAAAATTTTATTAAACATAAGAATTAGATCCCTATCTCACACTGTACATAAACATAAAAATGGTAAATTGATGGATTGCCTAAACATGAAAGGCAAAGCATTAAAATATATAAAAATATTTTGGGGCATGTAGGGCAAAAGAGGTGTCCCTTAAGCAACAGCACAAAGCAAAAATTGTAAAGAAAAAGACATATATTTGATCATTTTAATTAAAAACCTGTACAATGCAAAGACTTCATAAACAAAGAAAAGACATAGGCTCAGATAGTATATTTGCAATACTAAAACAATAAAGGATTTATGTCATAATTTAAGAAAAATATTTACCTATCAATAGAACAAAATAAAAATAACCTAACAGGAAAATATTTTTAAAGTTTAAAAAATAATAGACAGTTCACAGAACATCTGTATGTCAAATACACTTATGAATAGATGCTAACTCTCATTTATTATTGGAAAAATTACTTCATATTAGTCGGTTTTCATGCTGCTGATAAAGACATACATGAGACTGGGTCATTTATACAGGAAAAAGGATTTAATGGACTTACAGTTCCACACAGCTGGGGAGGCCTCACAATCTTGGCAGAAGGCAAGGAGGAGCAAGTCACATCTTACATGAATGGCAGAAGGCAAAGAAAGTCCCCTTTATAAAACCATCAGATCTCATGAGACTAATTTACTATCACGAGAACAGCATGGGAAGGACCTGCCCCCATGATTCAATTACCTCCCACGAGGTCCTTCCCACAACATGTAGGAATTCAAGATGAGATTTGGGTGGGGACACTGCCAAACCATATCGTACTAAGTGAGATAACGTACTCCCATCGGACTGGAACAAGTAAAAAATAAAATAAGATTGTGAAAGGTCACAAACTCTCATTCTTGTAGAAATTTAAGTTGGTACAACCAATTTAGAGTGTAATTTAGCAATAATCTAGTTAAACTGAGGATGGCATGTCCTACCAAACAGCATTCCAGTTAATCACATTGAAGATAGCATGATTGTTCTCAGGCTTCCATATTTTCTGTTGAACGGTAAGTTGTCAGTCTAATTGGCATTCCTTTAAAATAGACTTGTTTCCTCTTGATGATTTTCACATTGTAATTTTGTCTGATTTTCAGCACTTCACCGGTCTTTAAATGATTATGTAAGATTTTCATTGCTGAGGAGGAAATCCTATCACCTCAAATACTATCTTATTAGTTATATTTTCATTTTATTTTACCATGATTTTAAATGAATTCCTTAAAAAATTAGGTTAGAGAACTAATAAATGATAAAGAGAAAAATTATTCTTCATCCTGATAGCTGTTATGTGAGGGTGGAATGGTATGGCTGGTTTTTTTCACTGTCATTTTGTAACTTGGAAATTCTTATTTTTTAATACAATGACAATATTTTCATAGTTAAAAAACACTAAAACTAAAACAATAGTCTGTTAATGACAAATTTAAGGGCGATTTCATTAAGTTAAAAATCCATGTTAAGGCATTATAAGATGAATAAATACTCCAAATGAAAACAAAGTGAAGGCCACTTTTATTTACCTTTTGTACATGATACTTATTTTTCAACAGTTGTCATGTTAGAAAAAGTTGAAAAAATAAAACAAGATACACCCCCTTTTGGCCTCTAACCTTCCAAAATTGTAATGGGTAGACTTCAAATTAAATATCTAATTCGACTCCTTTCCACTTCTACCCTCATAGCATTAGAGACATTTGGAAAAATGAAAAAAATATAGTATTTTATGGCAGGGTACCTCAACCCCAGAGCCACAGACCCGTACCAATCCGTTGCCTGTTAGGGACCCGATTCGCAAAGCAGTAGGTGAGCAGCAGCGGGCTAGGGAAGGAAGCTTCATCTGTATTTACAGCTGCTCCTCATCACTCCATTTCTGCCTGAGCTCCACCTCCTGTCAGATCAGCAGCCACATTAAATTCCCATAGGAGCACAAACCCTATTGTGAACTACTCATGCAAGGGATCTAGGTTGCATGCTCCTTATGAGAATCTAATGCTGCATGATCTGTCACTGTCTCCCATCACCCCCCAGATGGGACCATCTAGCTGCAGGAAAGGAAGCTCAAGGCTCCCACTGAATCTACATTATGGTGAGTTGTATAATTATTTCATTATATATTATAATGTGATAATAATATAAATAATGTGTGCAATAACTGTAATGCACTTGAATCATATGGAAACCATCCTCCAACCCGGTCCACGGAAAAATTGTCTTCCACAAAATCAGTTCCTGGTGCCAAAAGGGTCAGGGACCACTGTTTTATGGGATAAGTGAAAGCTGGATTTGAATCCAACTCTACCTTTTACTTCCCATGTGAACATTAAAAGATGACTTAATGTCTCTGAATCTTTTTTTCCTTCTAAGTAATAACTACCTTGCAGAGTTATTACTTGAATTGGCCATAAGGTAAAGAGGACACCAAATACAGTAAATAATAACATAATAATAAAGAAACCTTATGAATTCTATTCAGTGATATCCATATTGAGGTATTTAAGGTGAATGATACTGATGTCAGCAGTTTACCTGGATATGCATCAAAAATATGATTGATTGATGGATGGATCGGAGGAAGGAAAAGATATGTGATCAAAACGAGTATAGTAAAATGTTCATGGTGGAATCTAGATATATAGATATCACTTGTAATTTTTAAAAATGTTATTGCATTTTTGAAATTTGTTATGTTAAAATATTGGGTGAAAATTCTGATGCCCTGGCCATGTCCCAAATCAGTTGAATCAGATCTCTGGTGTATTTTTTTTTTAAGATCCTTGGATGACTCCATTGTACAGCAAGTTTGCAAACCACTATTCTAACTTCTCACCACCCCCTTCTTTATAGCTTACAAAATTATATTTTTAAATGTCAAATGTCACAATTTCACTTTCCTTCTTCAAGAACTGATTAGACTTCTAGCTTCTCCTATGCTCTCATCTTGCATAACGTTCATTTGCACGTGGTTAAAACTGATAGGCAATAAATAATAACCCATCTGTCTTTTCCTGACCCAACATAACTAAAACCTTCCTTTCAAGGCGAAAATGAACTATAATCTCACAGACAAGAGTAGCTATAGACAACTAATTCTTTCTGGTCTCTCGTGGTCATGGGACTATTCACCACTGCCGTCCCTGCTGTCTATTTGGTGGACCAGCCAGTTTTACTGTGACCCATACCATGGCTCTTGAGAAGCATGAAGCTGCCGAAATCGCAGTTGTAGGGTTAATGGAAAACATGGTGAAGTATAGCTTACATATATATACAATTTTGGCACAAAATGAAGCCTAAGAAATTGTACCGGGCTGGGTGTGGTGACTCATGCCTGTAATCCCAGCACTTTGAGAGACCAAGGTGGGCGGATCACCTGAGGTCGGGAGTTCGAGACCAGACTGAGCAACATGGAGAAACCCTCTCTACTTAAAATACAAAATTAGCCAGGCATGGTGGCGCATGCCTGTAACCCCAGCTACTCAGGAGGCTAAGGCAAGAGAATCTCTTCCACCCTGGAGGCATAGGTTGTGGTGAGAGAAGATCACACCATTGCACTCCAGCTGGGGCAACAAGAGCGAAGCTCCGTCTCAATAAATAAATAAATAAATAAATAAATAAATAAATAAATAAATAAATAAAAGAAAAAGAAATTGTACCAGGAAGTGGATTGGGAATGCTCTATATATTCTCCCCCTCCAAGAAGTTTTTTTAATTTATTGTATTGTGAAAGATCTGCAGCTATTTATTTTGTGTGGTACTCTTTTGCAATAAACTACTTCTGCATAAATGAACTCAAAAACTTTGATATTCATGAACCTTCATAATGTTGATCTAGTACATCTTGCCCAACTAGCCCTTGGGCCATTCCTTCCATGCCACTGGTTGAAAAATATGCTCCCCACCCCAGTAACATCAGCATCAGACCTCTGCAACCAGAAAGATTCCATAGGTAATGAAATCCAAATGCTGGCATTTGGAAGTCAAACCAGTGTATTTTGAAATGGAAAGGCAAGGGGAAGTGCATGGAGCAAGTACAGCATGTGCTACAACTTCAGTTCATACCCTCCTTAAAATACTGTGCAACTAAACTGTCAATTGCCCATTGATAGAGATAGTATCTTTTTCAGCTTTACACCTTCCGAATTCAACACACTGCTAGCCTCAGGACTAAGCGCTCAATAAATGTTTATCAAAAGATTGAGTAAATGAATCAGTGGTGAAATAAAATGTACAAACACATACGCTTCATACACGTTTAGGAAGCATTTCTAGTGAGCTTTGTGGATATTTTATTTCTTAAAGGTTCTTTTTCTTTCCATGTTCATGTTATTCTTTATTTTTTAAAATGTTGCTTCTGCTTATTTCTCTTTCTACGGCAGCTATATTTACTTGCCTGAGAGCACAGCATATACTGATGTTAATCAAACTTTAGATGAAACACCTAAAATGATAGAAAAGAATCTGCTCTAATTAAATAATAAAGCAACCCCTACAGGTTTAGACATGTGCCTTCCGGTGTGGGAAAGAAAAAATTTAATGAATGTAGTAGTTTTATGCCAAGAACATTTCCCTCGTGCACCTGTGTTTTAATAAGATAGAATATAAAATAGCAAAAGGGGCCCGACTTTTGTGATGATATTTACTCATAAGGTAGTAAGTCAGATGTGATGACATTTTCTTTGACTTAGAGCTGCTATACTTGGGTCAGATTTCAGTTCAGTAAATTTGCAGTGAAGTTGTCTTTCTAACATGGTGTCATCCTGGAACTGCCCTGCTCCCACAGTTACATACAGGCTAGGGAGTGGGTAGGAGTGGGGGTGAAATCCTCTTAATGTTTATGGTGTCAGTAGATTCAAACTAAAATTAGCCTTACAGCCATACTCCTAATAAGGGGCCCCTGGCATATTTAATTGATTTAACAAATTTATCAAAAATAGATAAACTGAAATCTGCCTTGAAATTAATTACTGTATCTCTATTTTTATAAGAAAATATTTTGGACCCGTTCCCTCTGCCTTATGGGTGCAACTCCCGGCAGAATAGGTCATGTCTCCTGAAAATAGTTCTTATTTTCTTTACTACTTATGACCTCTTATAGCCTAGAAGTTTTTCCTTGCTATTTCTAGTTGAAATGCTAATCTGGCATAATTTCTAGTTGAAATGCTAATCTGGCATAATTTCAGAACTAATTTTCTGTTAATGCCACTTGGAACATCTAAATTCCTCCTTTTTCAATAATACTATATTTGTGTGTTGCAAACACACACAAATCATACTATATTTGTGTGTATATATAGTAAATTCCAACTTATAAAAGTAAAATTGGAATTTTTTTCTTTCTTTGGAAAATTATTTTATAATTGAGAATTATAAATGTCACTTTTTTAAATGCTGCAACCTTTGAGATTGGTTTCAATAAAGTAAAACTTAGTAAACATTAAGAAAAATGATAGCTTGATATGTTCACTAATATGGTAAATGAAAACTTTTATGTGTGTATAGGCTCTTGTTAATTATAACTACCTTCACAGGAAAAACAGTCTTGTGGAAGGTAATGGTGCCAGTGAGAGAAAATAGAGAAAGTAGAATAGTAGTAAGAGAGAAAATAGAATTTCCCGTTTAGAATAAAGCTAAGTAAAAAGTGAATTGTTTCAGTTTTATTTATGTATTTGTAAGTGTGGTCTCATGCCATATATATTCAAAGATAGACAGAGATCTTAATCTTTAATTTTTTATGGCCAAAGAAAATGAGTCCCATGTAAAAGGGACATTTTCGTAAGCTGATCTCAAGTGGTGTATTTTGATTTGCCGCAGCAGCCTATGGAAGAAATATCATTTTGGCTGCCTAAGAAGAAAAATGTCATACCTTTCTATTTTTTATTCATACTCCGCATATTTGGAATTCGTATTCTCACCATACTTTTGGGAAGATAACACGAAATTGCCTTACTTGCCTCGAAATCAAAATCTGCCATTCGTTTTAAAATAAAATGGCTTTTTCATCTCATTTTCCTTTAGCAGAAAAAAGTAAGTTAAATTTTTTTGTAGCTGTGTTAAGTGTACTGTTCCTCCCTCGTTGAGAACGAAACAAAGACATATGATTCCATTTACTGTAATTGTTTTGGTTTGCCCAATTACAATAGCAGTAAAATCATTTACACATAGTAAAATGTTTGAGCCTTAAAGGGCAAGAAGACTAAATTTAGCTGAAGATATACAACTTTCATGTGCCAATGAGGAAATGTATAAAATCAGTTATACATATTTTCCTCATTCATAGATATTGAAAATATTCATATATGTGTACATGTATTTGATAACTTAATATTTTCTAAATAACAGAAATTATATACTGTATATATATTTGGATATTATGATTATTGTTATTGCCACCATTGAGCACTTACTATGGGCTCAGAAAACTTCACTGTATTATTTTTAATTCTTATAACAACCCTGTGAAATATATATTATGCCTATTTCACAAATGAGAACTCTGAAATCAGGAAATTAAATCACTTGCTGAAGTTTACAAAGCACTGTTAGGCAATAAAACAGAATTTCAAACTCACGTTTGCTTGTCTTCAAATTTTGTATGCTGTACAACCTGATTGTTTTACTACTTGTTCTTAATTTCAAAAAAAATCTTCATACTAAAAGATGATACTTTGGGAGTTCTAAAGAACATGTTTTTGGCCGGGCGCGGTGGCTCACGCCTGTAATCCCAGCACTTTGGGAGGCCGAGGCAGAAGGATCACGAGGTCAGGAGATCGAGACCGTCCTGGCCAACAAGGTGAAACCCCGTCTCTACTAAAAAATACAAAAAATTAGCCGGGCGTGGTGGCGGGCGCCTGTAGTCCCAGCTACTCGGGAAGCTGAGGCGGGAGAAAGGCGTGAACCTGGGAGGCAGAGCTTGTAGTGAGCCGAGATCGCGCCGCTGCACTCCAGCCTGGTTGACAGAGCGAGACTCCGTCTCAAAAATAACAAAACAAAACAAAACAAAACAAAAAAAACCATGTTTCTTTTCAGAAGGTATACTCATTTGAAGTGGATACCAATTATTTGTATTAAAATTACTTATGGATAAATTTGAATCTGCAAAAATTAAGTGCAACATTATTTTTTGGCACCTGTTATAGGAGGTAAAAATGGTGATTCAATATAGTTTCTACCCTTAGGGAGCATTTAGTGTGGTTTAGACGTAATGACACTAATGTAAATTAGAGTAGAATAAATTCTTTAAAGCAGGACAAAAGGAGTGTTAAAGACTACAAAGTTTCAGTTATGGAAGATAAAATTCTGGAGATCTATTATACAGCATAGTGCCTATAGCTAATAATGCTGTTTCGGACACTTAAAATTTCCTAAGAAATCTTATGTTGTGTTCTTACCACCAGTAACAACAATAATAAAGGGGACAAGAGGAAATTTTGAGTGATGACAGATATGTTTATAGCCTTCATGGTGGCGATGGTTTTGTGGGTGTATACTTATTCCCAAACTCTTTGATTTTATATATATATATATATATATATATATATATATATATATATATATGATGAAACTCTTTGAGATATATATATATATATGTAAAATATGTACAGCTTTTTGTATGTCAATCATACTTCATTAAGGTGGTTACAAAAAAGAATCAAGAAAAATAATCACCCTAATAAAAAGAGTGTTATTAAAGAGGGGAGGGATTACTTCTAATTGGTAGTATCAGAAAGGTTCTCATGGAGGAAGGTATAGAAAAATTTAGGACAATATAAGCAACGATACTTTAAGAAAAGGAATAATATAAACAAAAATAAACCAAAAGATGAAGAACCACCAAGGATGTTTCTGAAAAATCAAGAGAAATTCCATTTTGATTTGAGAGTATGAGGTACTTGTCATGATATATAATGAGAAGTGTCTAGAAATATGTTATTTTGAGCAAATGCTGCTTAGAAAGGAGGTTAGGTTATTTATTAATCCATTCCTTTGAAATATAAATTTCATGATCAGAAACACGTGAGTGTAACTATCCAATAACAACATGATTTATTTCCAAGAGGATAGTATATTATAGGAGAAGTAGGATTTTTTCTCTTTCACAAGCTAATACAGTGTTTACTGATTCAAATGACACTTAAAAAAAACAAGAAACAAAAAACATACACTATAAGCTATCCTTATTCAGCTATGTTATTGTCTTGCATTCCTGATTAGAAACATACAAGTTAGACTCCCAAAGTCTCAGTTTTCTCATTTGCAAAATGAATAAAATGATAGTACCTACCCCAAGGTGCTGTGGAGTATATTTAATCATGTACTTAATCTGAAGTTTTAATTAGAGTGCATAGCATATATTTGTGGTTGCTTTTGCTCCTATTTCTGGGTAAAAGTTCCTACACCTATTATATATGTTTTGTGTTTGAATGAAGAGAAAGGCATCATTATTTCAAATATCCCCTCTAGCCAACAAATGAAAGCTAAGACTTGGAAGCTAGGATGTCTAACACCATATCCTCTTCATGTGGACTATATAGTAGAGGATATGTAAATTAAGACTCAATTAAATGCTCACATTTTATAAAGGAGACCCTTGAATATATCAAATCCTCAGAGAGTATGTCAGTTTAAACTTATTAAGAAATTTAAATTATTTAACTTAGCCTGCTGAGTCAGTTTCTGTAGCTGATTTCTCCAAAAGGTCTTGGTATTAAAAGTAGCATTACAGATCACTAATAGCAAACTATTTCTGCTACTTTGGGTATTTTTACAGGGTGCTAATTGTGCCAAATCAAGACATTGAAATTGCATAATTTTAGGTTAATATTAGCATAATCCTACATATTTTTTCAGAAGCAGTGCAGGAATAGTACACCCTGAATATTTTTCCATCATGATGGAATTTTCAAATATCACAACCTTTACATTGTCAGTTGTCTGCTGGAACATTATATTGTGTCAAAGAGATTTATAAAAGAGAAGGGCAAAGAAAATTTGCGGAGTTCTAGACAATAGTAATATCAGGGACACTTTTGCTTTCTTTGTTATTACTAAGGAGTTAAATAATCAGATACCAAGCATAGGTAAAGAAATGAATCTCTAACTATTTGAGTACTTATCAATTTATCTCAAGGATATTTACGGTGTTTTCCCCTAAGCCAAAATAGAGTGCTTAATTAAGGTCCCCTTAGCCCCCTAAAAATCACTCAGGCCAAGTTTCTGATATGTGTGTATACTTATATACATATTAAAGTATATGTATTTTTGTGTGCACTTTCAGATCAAAAAGTCCTCGTTTATCTAAAGCAATTTCAGCTTATTGATGAGGCTTTTCTGTTACAGCGTCCTCCTCCACAGATCTGCCTGTCTAGAGATTTAAGCCCAATAAGAGTCCAGCAAAGTTTAAACAACACTTTAGAAATCTAAAGAATTTTAAGATTTATTTTAATAGTCTTAGTGATAACCTGAATTGTTTGTGAGTTCTTACAAATAATGCAATCAACATTTAAGTAATTTTATTATTTTTTTGTTTGTATAAATTTAAGGTATACAAGTACATTTTTGTTACATGGATATATTGCAGAGTGGCGAAGTCTGGTTTTTTGTGTACCCATCATGCAAATGATGTACCTTTTCTCCATTAAGCAATTTCCTATCCTTCGCCCCCATCCCACCCTCTCGCCCTTCTGAGTCTCCAGTGTCTATTATTCCACACTCTGTGCGCATGTGTACACATTATTTAGCTTCCACTTGTAAGTGAGAACATGCAATATTTGACTTTCTGTTTTTGAGTTATTCCACTTAAGATGACCACCAGTTCCATCCATGTTGCTGCAAAAGACATGATTTCATTCTTTACTATGGCTTTGTAGTATTTTTCATTGTGTATATGAAATTGTTTATTCCATACGCAATTTGTGTGTGTGTACATATATATATATATATATATATATATATATATATATATATATATATATGCTTAGACTTAGAAGCTAGGATAGACACACAATGGAATACTACACAATGGAATACATTCATTCACACACATATAAATAAAAGAATATGTGGAGATATATCTCCACATATTCTTTATCCAATCATCTGTTTTTAAATAATGCTATTGACTTCTTTAGGGTGAATTTTATCAATATTGTTTTGGTTTAAAACACTCACCTTAAAAGAGTCACAGTCCCTAAATGTGCATCCTCATATTTAAATTAGGTCTCAGTAAATTTGTGCAAAGTGTATTCTTTTTAGGATGGTGTTGAACTTGCTAAATTATTTATCTTTAAGAATCATCATTTTGTGTCTTTTATTAATGAAAACAACAATTATGTGATTGCTGATATATTTGGAAAATGATTTCTGATGTAGATTGATTTTTTTATTCTAAATTCTGTGTCGGTATTAAAAATTTATAGATTACTAACTGTATTAATATCGATAATACTAAATTTTATTGCTATTTATAACTTGGAGTGTACTTTCATCCTCCTGAAAAAGCTGAATGAGGTAGGCAGTATTATTCTGGGTTTATGTGTGAGATAACTGAGACTCAGAGGTAAAATAGTGTATCCAAGCATTCATGGCTCTTAAATGGAAGATATAAGGGGTTTGTGAAATTACTCATGGACTTTTTTATTCATTCATTCAGTTATTAAAATGTATTCAACATTTATCATGTACCAGGAACAGCGCTTAGTACCAGGAATTCAAAGGTGCATAAAACATCTTCCTTATTCTAAGAGGTACATAGTGTACTGGAACAAACAGCCTTGTAAATACATAATTAGAACATGAAGTAGTATGTTAATAGAGGTTTTCACAAAGCTGTGGAAGCTTGTCTTATGAAGTAACTAATTCCAAGGGAGAGAAGCCTTATGGAATAGTGACATTTTAGATAGGGTGTCATTCTAAAATACAGCAAAAGGCCCACAGTAAAAAAGGAATTTTGGTTGTTATGAAAATTTTCAGATTTTCTATGTTTTCAGTACAGTATACATGGTGGGCTATGTGAATGTTTGTATAGGGACCAAAGTAGGAAGTGAGGTTGTCTGTTAGAGAGCGCTGAGAAACCGAAAATAGGGAGAGATGAGTTGGAATATGCTGAGGAAAAGTTATTAGGAGTTTTCAAGAAAGGCCACGACAGTGGGGCTAGAGAGAAGAGGCTAAATTAAAGAGTCATTTCTGGTTTAGAATTGATAAAATATAGAGACAAGCATGATAAGAAAGAAGTCGAGAAGTAAACGATGGTCTCAAGATTTCTAGCTTGGAAATCATTGACTAAAATTAAAACTAAGGACTGGATTAGGCCATTCTTGCATTGCTATAAAGAAATACCTGAGACTGGGTGTTTATAAAGTAAAGAGGTTTAATTGGCTGACGATTCTGCAGGCTCTACAGGAAGCATAGCAACATCTGTTTCTGGGGAGGCCTCAGGGAGCTTTTACTCATGGTGGAAGGCAGAGCAGGTGTAGGCATTTCACATGGCGAAAGCAGAGAGAGAGAGTTGGTGGTGGGGGTGGGTGGCTACCTACTTTTAAACAACCAGATCTTGGAGAACTCACTCATTTTCATGAGGACAGTACCAAGAGGATGGTATTAAACCGTGAGAAACCACCCTGATGATCCAGTCACCTCTCACCAGGCCCCACCTCCAACATTGGGGATTACAATTTAATATGAGATTTGGGTGGGGACACAGATCCAAATCATATCAAAGACTTGCATGGGAAAATAAGGAATTGTTGACATAACATCTTTGAGGTTCACATCAAATGTTCTGATGAGGATAGTCCAAGTAGCAGTTGGCTATATACCTCAGATAAGGGCTGAAATTTGGAGCTATGTCATAATCAGCCTAGATTAAGAGTCAATAATCTCCTGCCCATGGGCCAATTACACCCACCACTTGTTTTTGTAAAGTAGTATTGAATCCCAGCCATATCCATTTGCTTATGCTCCATGTATACCTTTTTTTTGAACTTCAAGGCAGAGTTGAGTAGTTGTAACAAAAACCATACGGCCCACAAAGCCTGAAATATTTGTTCTCAAGATCTTTATCTATAAAGTTTGCCAATACCTGCTGTAGATGTTAGTTGAAGCTTTGAAAGCAAATGAGGTTTCATAAGGCAGTGTCCATACAAGACATTTAACAAGTTTACCTATAAAAACTAGAATTCCTTTGAGGGGAACACATCCTAGTCTCCATTAAGCACAGTAGAAGAGTCCCCTATAATGGGAAAGAGGTCACTTTAGGTGTTGATGTTGGTGGTACAGGTCAAAGAAAATTTATCTTTGCTGTTTATTCAGAATGCAATAAGTGAAGTTATGAGAAATAAGGGAAAAAATGTGTAGAATTTCAACAGCGAAGAGAGGGGATAAAGGCATGAGAATGAGTTCCTAAGCTCAAGTATTATAAACACTGTGAGAAACTTAAAATCAAAGTATGACTCCAAACGTATTTGAAGCCTGAGAACAAGGCTCACAACCTAGGGAGGATTAGGGATCAATAAAATAGAGTGTTACAAAGTATAATGTCAATCCAGAGTTGTAAAAATATCAGCATTGAATATATTGAAAGCAGTAAAACTGAATGAGGAGACTATCATTTTATATCACTGTGTTTATTTCTTTGCCTTGTTCTATAAATATTTAAAATTATAAAATTTTTATTAACAGTGAGAGCAGAACTACCAGAGTGAGCAGATCAAAATTGGGACAGATGCTTTTCACTGCACACACTTTTATTTTTCTGCTGTTCATGCATTATCTTGTACAGTGCACATGTTTTACCTAAAAAATTAAAATGGAGTCTCCTGCTTAGGAAAAAAGTATATATTCTGTTTCAAACTATATACAAAAATAAAATCCCAGGTGACTAAAAACTGACATGAGAAAAAAACAAATTGATAAAGCTTTTACAGTAAAATAGAGGAGAATATGTTAATTAATATAGGGTAAGAAAAAATTGCTTACACAAATGATGAAGCACTAATCATGAATAAAAATAATAAAGTGGACTACCTTGTATATTAATAACATCTATACATCAAAAGACAGCACTGAGAGAGTAAAAATGAAACCCACAGAGTAGGATAAATTATTTGGAATACACACATAATGGATGAAATGTGTGTATTCATAATTATAAAGAATTCCTACAAATCTTTCAGAAAAGAACAGATAATCCAATAGAAAAATGGGAAAAGTTCTTGAAAAGTGAACCATGGCACAAAAAGGGCTTGTGGCCTGCTGGCAATATTCTGTATCTTGACCTGGATGGCATTTTTAAGGTGATCACTTTATAGTAAATAACTAATGTGTTTTATGCATCATAGTAACGTTAAGATTTTTGTCATCTTTACAAAATAAGAAATCCAAACGGCCAATAAATATATAAAGAATTTCTAAGTCCCATTAATGGTCCAGGCCATGCAAATTAAAACTAAAATGAAATATCACTGCTTACCAACCAGAATCATTGAAATTTATAAGTCTGACAATTCCATGTGGTGGTGAGAATATACAGCAATTAGAAATTTCACACAATGTTACTTGGTCTGTGAATTGTAAATAGAAGTGTAAAATTACACTACTGCTTCTTGGAGTGAAATCCATTTGGCACTATTTAGTAAATTCAAAGATCTGCATAACCTATAGCCCACCAATTTCACTTCTATATATACACTCTACAGAAATGCATATGTTCATATTCCAGGAGACATGTTTGGGAATGTCATAGCAGCATAGTAATAGCCCCAAACCAAAACTACTTCAGTATTTATTAATAGTAAAATTTGCTATAGTTTGAATGTGTCTCTTTCCAAATTCAGGTGTCGATAATGTGCTAGTACTAAGAGGTAGGGTGTTTAAGTGGTGATTAGGCCATGAGGGCTCCTTCTTTGTTAATAAAAATAAGACCCTTATAAACAAGGCTTCACGCAGCATTCAGTCAGCTTGCTCTCTTGCCCTTCTACCTTCTGCCTTGTGAAGATACAGCAGGAAGGCCCTCACCAGACACCAAATGCCAGAGCCTTTATCTTGGACTTCCCAGCCTCCAGAACTGTGAGTGAATACATTGGTATTATTTGTAAATTACCCAGTCTCAGGCATTTTGTTATAACAGCACAAACAGACTAAGACAATCATACAGTGAGAAATTAATCAACAACTAATAAGCAAAGAGGTAGATTAATCTTGAAACTATGATATAGAGTGTTCCATTTGGCTGCTGGAAGTTTTATTTCTTGGTCTGGGTGATGGTCACCATGGGTTTATATGAATGGTTCCCTATATTATGTTTCACAACAAAAAGCATTTAAAAAGTAAATATATGTAATGTACTCAGGGATAGGCATGGCCAACCATGGATTCTATGCTGAAATAATGATTCAGATTTCATCAGCAGGCTAATGACACTGCCTATTTAAATACTTTAAGTCCTGAAATTAAAGAAGGTAATTTCTCAAGAAGGAATTTCTAATTTATGGGTGGGTCTATTCCCCACCAGAGAGACACTAGCATGGCTCAGATTCTATGTTGGTCATTTTATTTGCATTTAAAGTCTTAAGCCAAATAGAGGTACACTAATAATGACAACAACTACTACTACTCATACTTGTGGAACACTGCCAGATGCTGTTTTAAGAAATTTGCATTTTCATTTGTAACTGAGCTTACTTGAATCTTCTCTCTTTTTTTCTTGGTTAATCTAACTACTGGTCTATCAATTTTACTTATCTTTTCAAAGAATCAACATTTTGTTTCATTGATCTTTTATATTTTTGTTTCAATTTCATTTAGTTCTGCTCTGATCTTTGTTATTTCTTTTCTTCTGGAGCTTTGTGTTGGCTTTGTTGTTGATTCTCTAGTTCCTTCAGGTGTGATGTTAGGTAGTCAGACTGTGAACTTTCAGGCTCTTTGATGTAGGCATTTGGTGCTAGAAAATTTCCTCTTAGCCTTGCTTTTGCTGTATCCCAGAGGTTTTGAATAGATTTTGTTGTGAATGTGATGAAAACGGAACATTTGTACACTGCTGGTGATTGTAAATTAGTACAACCTACATGGAAAACAGTATGAAGATTTCTTAAAGAACTAAAAGTAGATCTAACATTTGATCTGGAAATCTCACTACCGATTATGTACCTAGAGGAAGAGAATTCATTATATCAAAAAGACACTTGCACGCATATGTTTATAGCAGCACAATTCACAGTTGCAAAGATATGGAACCATCCTAAGTGCCAGCCGACCAATGAGTGGATAAAGAAAATGTGGCATATATTTTCATATACCGTGAAATACTATTCAGCCACATACCATGCAATACTACTCAGCCGTAGAAAATAATGAAATAATGTCTTTTGCAGCAACTTTGATGGAGCTGGATGCCATTATTCTAAGTGAAGTAATTCAGGAATGGAAAACCAAATACTGTATGTTCTCACTTATAAGTGGGAGCTACGCTGTAGGTACACAAAGGCAGACAGAGTGGTAGAATGGACTTTGAAGACTCAGAAGGGGCAGAGTGGGAAGGTAGTGAGGGATAAAAAATTACCTTTGGGGTGTAATGTACACTACTTGGGTGACACGTGCACTAAAATATCTGATTTTACTTCTATACAATTCATTCATGTAACCAAAAATCACTTGTATTCCAAAGACTATTGAATTTGAATTTTTTAAAAACATTAATAAAATAAAAGATGTAAAAAAAGAAATTTATATATACTCATTTATTGAGCTCCCACAATTAACCTTAGGAGGTAAGTACTTCATAATTGGTAGTATACTTATCTTTTACTAAATATTTGTATTACTTGGGAAGTTGAGGGTTGGGGAGAAGTAGCAAGGTACTATGATTTGGGGCAGATAACTAACTTATTTATTCGCACATACAGTTTGGACCATGAGACACGAGCTCAGGTCCCTCCTCCTCACCTAATCAAAGATGAAATATGTGGGATGGGATGAAATAATCAGCAGTCCAATGCTGAGTTTCCAGACCGAAGTATAAAGCAACAATGGATATGTCAGAAGTCTACTAGGGTGTTATTTATTTAAATCTATTTCATGGAATTTACTACCACCTTAATGGCCCGAAAGTGTTAAAGTATGCCCCAGAGTACCGAATTACTCCCTAAATGTAATTTATGCTTGAGAATAATCTGACTAACTTGATTTAGAACATCAGAAAATAAGTTATGCTGCACATAAATGAAGCAGCAGTGTAATTTTAAATACCGGTTGCACGGTGAATGAGAATTTTAATATTTGCAAAATTCTAAAATCACTTGATTTATTATCCTTATGTTTATACTGACATTTTTTTGCCCTTTGTTAAGTTCCATCCATATTTCTTCTTACTGCCAAGAAAAAAAACTTTTTTTCCTAGAAATATTACAGAAGGCAAAAATTATATTTGTTTCCCTGAATGCTATTTTTGATGTCTCTACTTGTTTCTCATTGTTACCATTTGCTTCATTCATGGGCAGCCCAATTAATGGAGCGAGACAAATTTAGGGAGCACAGTGACTAATTAGATATTAAATTGGTAAATCTAACTTTGTAAAACCAGAAAAAATATATATATATTTTTTTCATTTGGAATTTTCCTTGGTGGAAAAGAGTTTAAAAGTAGTCATGATAAAAAATGTAATTTTACGTAGTAAATTCAAGAATAGATTTAGACTGTGCTATTAACAGCACCTATTAAATACTGAAAAGTGTATTTTAAAATTTTATGTGAGGCTTGAAATGGAGTCTAAAGTATTATTACTCACATTAAGTGTCATCACATGTAAAGCCCATGATTTTATTCTTTAATATTTTGTTTGAATAGTTACTTATTTCAACAGTAATTTCAATAATAAAATTAAATCAACTTTACAGTTTTCAAAGGTTTAGCAGTTGCATGCTGTAATAAATACTTCATATTTATATATTTATAAAGTGACAGCATAAGTCATTTTTATTAGGTCCTTGAGGATGCAAAAGTTTGGATTATACGAGGAGACGAGAGAAAAAGGGAAGAAGGGCATTTCAGAAATATGCTACCGATATGCAAATTCACAAGTCCTAAGACAGTAGCAGGGGTCGGGCAGAAAGTCCATCCTGCCTCCCTCTTGTGGGCCTGGAACAATGGTGTAAGTGGAAGGCCTGTTCCCCTTCTCTTCCTACCTCCAGCTCTGTCTTACAGAGCTACGGATACCATGAGCAAGTGTATGAACCCTTACGGTTTTCTTCTCTTGGGAGAATGTAAAGGAAAGATAACTTGTAGAAACTTGTAGATAACTTGTAAAAAGGAAAAGAATTCAGGGTGAGAGGGGGATTTGTTGAATTTGATAGAGGATGGCAATTACCAATATGATGAGTGATTGAGAAACAAGTCTGTGCAACAGGTTTGAAATCGAAAATCTTTGAGGTGTACAGGATCCTGAAATGAAGAATGGGCATTTATAGCAGTATGTCAGAGAAACAGTCACCTCCTAGTAGCTAAAAGTGTTGGCAAAAGTATAGTTCAAGTGATTGGGTAGGAAAAACAGCAAACCAAGAGTGGAGACTGATGGTTGCTACAAAGGTGGAGTGGTAAGTCGTGACCAACTGGTACTTCTCTGTGCTCTGGTTAGCTGCTGACTGTTTCTCAGACTGTGGTAGCAGGAGGAGGGTTGGAGTTAGCAGTCATTTGCATATGAGACTGCCATTTAAAAAAAAATTTTAAATTATTTCATTTTTCTGACTCTCAATATGAAAAGCACATTGTAGACAAATTGAAAAATATAGAAAAATTATATAAGAAAATATAGTCTCACCAGTATGGAACAATGCTAACTATGTTGCATAGATTTTTAGATTCTCATTCAAAAGCAACTCTTTGACTCCAGTGATGCAAATGCATGTAACATATGCAATGTGCAATTCATTTTTAAAGGGAATAAACTTACGATATATTCATAGGTCATTTATTGTGTGTTATATACCATTGAAAATATATGAATGCTAAATTATTAGTAAACATGCAAAAACATTGGCAAGATCATTTTGTTGTGGAAGGATATATTGTATCTGAATAACTCTAGAATACCATAAATCATCAAAGGCAACATTCTTATTTTTCACTAACTACAGTTAGAGAATACCTCTTCGGCTACCTTCGGTTGCCTTTTTTATGCTACCAAAATGCTGTCTGTTTTACAAGATTTTAAAGGTTAAGCATATAATTATTCATTAAATACAATGAGTGCAATGTACATGTAGATACATTATTAAATTTTGGGTAGTTAATAAAAATAAGGGGAAAAAACCTCTAGAACTATCACTTTTAATTGTTTAACTGATAAAGTGAAGCTTCATCTTGGAAAAATAATTTCACAAGAGAGCATGTGCACTGGTAGAAAAGTGCCATTGAAACAAGAGATATTTGGGTTAGAAGCCTCTCTCTACTATTTAATACCATTTTCACCTTTTGGCAAATTACTTGGCCTCTGTTTTCTCCAATGGAAAATGGGAATAATAATTGTTATGCTGCAGGGTTATTGTAGGTGTCAATGAAATGATGTGTCTGGCACTATAAAAGCACAGAGCCCGGTGCCTGGCTATTAGTAACTGTTTAATAAATGTTAATTCCTTTCTCTGCCCAGGACATCAGTAGGCAGATGTAGCAATTTAAAACTTCTAGTGTTACTTTAAATTCCTGAATGAAGGTAGAGGACTGAAAAGATATCATGGTATTCAAAAGTATGATCCATTGCTTCTTAAGAATAGAGTTCAGAAAAGCTTGACAGATTCCTGTACTCTGAGGCAGCACCATAGCCGGTAATCTGTAGGATGGCTATTGGTTTTGTGCTCACAAATGCTTGCTTGGGCAGGCCCCAGGAAATCTGGTAGACTGTAAGCCCAGTAAGATTTCAAATCTTACTTTACGGCAGTGTTTTTCACCTTGACTGTACATTGAAATCACCTGGATGCTTTGAAAAATAACAGCGTCAGTGTCCAACCTCCAGAAATACTGATTAAGTTGGTCTGGAATGGAGCCCCAGGATCACTGTTTGGTTATTGTTGTTGCTGTGTTTTAAATGCCCCAGTTGATTCTTATGTGCAACTGTCTTAGGTAAACATACAGCCCTGGTTCATATTATTTCTGCCTCAGTCTCTTTTATGACTGGAAGGTGACCAAATGCTTGTTTCCTAATATTCTTTCCATGTGTAGTATTAACACATTTGACTTGTACTAAGTTCCTGCAGTATTCCAATCTAAAATTTTAGTGACTACAATAAAATAAGAAGGATTAAAGAAGGCATCGCATAGTTTAGTATATCGGTTATTTAATGCTTACATGTGAGCCTACAATATGAATTATATCTGTCATCTTATTTTAAATATTGACAGAATCTTTAATGATAGTGACGAATTATTGATTTATTGGTGTGATAATGGTATTTTAGTTATATTTTTAAAGTTTTATTTGTAATAACTATATGTATTTATGGGGTACAGTGTGACGTTTCAGTGTAATGTTTCATTGTGTAATGATCAAATCAGGTTTCTTGGCAGATCCATAGCCTCAAACATTTATAATTTCTCTGTGGTGAGAAAATTTAAAATTCTCTTTCACTATTTTGAAATATACAGCACAATATTGGTAACTTTGTTCATATTACTATGCAATAGAACACTAGAACTTATTACTCCTTTCAGTTGATGAACAGGCAGTTTTGGATCAAGAATAATATTGAAAGTGATAGAATTTATGAAGTAATTTTTATCCAAAAATATTTTGAAAGGGAATATATTGCTTCCAAATAATTTATTACAATGTTAAGATATTTGTAAATTTCTAGAATTAAAAAAATATATTTTTAGGAAAGAAAATGCCAATAGTCCAAAATAGTTGCTTTATCTTTCTTTTAATCAATAAATATATTCATTTTAAAGGGAAAAATTGCAACCTTCCATTTAAAATCAGCTTTTATATTGAGTATTTTTTTAAAATGTTGTGTGTACATGCTAGGTGTGTATATTAATTTTTATTTGTTACTTGAAACTAAACTCTGCAAATGCAGGAAACTATCAGAGTGATATCTTTGTCAGTATAACCAAAAAATATACGCTATATCTCTATAATCTGTTTTACATAATCCATCTATTTTTCTTGATCCATATGCTTTTACCTGCAGGCGATTTGACAGATCTGTTGAGAAATGGCGGCGTTTTCATTATGATATAAAGATATTTAATCAGTGGCTAACAGAAGCTGAACAGTTTCTCAGAAAGACACAAATTCCTGAGAATTGGGAACATGCTAAATACAAATGGTATCTTAAGGTAAGTCTTTGATTTGTTTTTTCGAAATTGTATTTATCTTCAGCACATCTGGACTCTTTAACTTCTTAAAGATCAGGTTCTGAAGGGTGATGGAAATTACTTTTGACTGTTGTTGTCATCATTATATTACTAGAAAGAAAATTATCATAATGATAATATTAGAGCACGGTGCTATGGACTTTTTGTGTCAGGATGAGAGAGTTTGCCTGGACGGAGCTGGTTTATCTGATAAACTGCAAAATATAATTGAATCTGTGACAGAGGGAAGCATCGTAACAGCAAGGTGTTTTGTGGCTTTGGGGCAGTGTGTATTTCGGCTTTATGTTGGAACCTTTCCAGAAGGAGAACTTGTGGCATACTTAGCTAAAATGAAGTTGCTAGAAATATCCATCATGATAAAATTACAGTTCTGTTTTCCTAAAGACAATTTTGTAGTGCTGTAGCAATATTTCTATATATTCTATTGACAAAATGCCTTCTGAAATAGTCCAGAGGCCAAAACAATGCAGAGTTAATTGTTGGTACTTATTGACATTTTATGGTTTATGTTAATAGGGAAACAGCATATGGATGATAACCAGTGTGTAGTTTAATTTCAACTTGTGGTGTCCTTTGAATATGCAGGTAAAGATAGATTAGATTGTCCAGGATATAATTTGGTTGCTAAATTACATAGTTTAGGCATAAGAAACACTGTGTTTATTACACGAAGACTTAATTATTTTTGCATCTTTTTTAGCTCAAATTGTTCATGTTGCAATAGTCAATCAAGTGGATTTGAATTGTAGCCAATTTTTAATGCCAGAAAATACTGATTAAGACAGATGAGGGCAAAAAACACCCAGTAGTTTATTAAATACTTTAGATATTTCAAAATGCTGGATTCACAAAAGCAGTATCACATTTGACTTTACAAGTCTTCATTCTCAAATATGTTTCCATAGTAAATATGCCCTTTAATATTAAGGAGTTAAGCATTTAAACACCTATTTATATGATAAGCTATTTAAACACAGAAAATATTTTTAAAACCTTGTGTAATTATATGTGTATCAATCAAACTTGCATGCACACCAGCGTTGGCATTTGTATAGAGAGGAAATGTATGGATTCCCAATCTGCTTTAATATAGAAGATACATTTTAAAAATAGCACTGAAGTGAATTTTGGGCTAATGTAGCATAATGGGGTTTCTGCCTGAGAGGCAGAAACATATTAGAGTTATATAAAATGTTTTGGGGTAGATATAGAAACCACTTGCCATTTTCAATGATATCCAACCCAAGGTAGTTATATATTTCAATTTATATTTTATTATCAAATTAGTACTTATTGTGAAAAAAATCAAGTAACATAGAAATTTGTAAAAGTACCTCCATTCTACTCTTTGGAGGATAGTTGTTCAGTATGAATTTTGCTACATATTTCAGGCTGGGTTTCTTGGAAAGCCATTGTAAAATGGAGATTTGTATGTAGAAGGTTAACTAGGGAGTACTTTTACGATGAAGCAATTTGTTTTGATGTAACTTGGTGTAGTTTTCTTCATGTTTCTTGTTCTTGAAGTCAGTTAAGCTCTTGAATCTGTGCATTTAACATTTCATCAAATTTAGAAACCTTTCAACCATTTTTTTAAAAAAAATGGAACTCCAATTGTACATTTATTAGGCTCCTTAAAGTGCCCCACTACTCACTGATGTTATGTTCATTGTCTGTTTGGTCTCTCTTTTCTCTGTAATTTGTTTTATATAATCTCTATTGTCAAATTGACTAATCTTTTTCAAAGTCTAATCTATGGCTAATCCCATGTAGTATATATTTTTAACATCAGACATTTTCATCTCTTAGAAGTAAAAGTTGGGTCTTTTTATTTCTTCCATGTGTCTACTCAACATGTTCAGTCTTTACTTTCTTGACTATATGGAATACAGATATAATAACTGTTAGAATATTCTTCTCTACTAATTTTATCATCTGTGTCTATTCTGGGTTAATTTAAATTGATTTATTTTTCTCCTCATTAAGTGTGTTGTTTAACTGCTTCTTTGGATGACTGGTAATTTTTGACTATATGCCAGACATTGTGAATTTTAACTTAGCGCGTGCTTGATACTTCAAATAAATTCAAATATATTGAAATAAATATTCTCAAACCTCGTTCTGGAACACAGTTAATTCACTTGGAAACAATTTGATCTTTTGAGAATCTTCCTTTTATGCTTTGTTATGACCAGAACAGTGTAAGTTTAGGGCTACTTTTTCCCCACTACTGAGGCAAAACCCTTCTGAGTACTCTCTCTGATGTCCTGTGAATGATAAAATTTTTCACTGGGGCTCGTGGGAACAGGTGGTATTACTAGCCACGTGTGAGCTCTGGTGATTGTTTCCTTTAATTCTTTTGTGAAGTTCTTTCCTTAGCTTTGAGTGGTTTTCTTGCATACATGAACTGATCAAGACTCAGATGAAGAATAAAATAAAGCTTTCTACAAATCTCCAAAATTTCCTCTGTGTATATATCACCTCTCTGGTATTTTGCCCTGTGATCACTAGTCAGCCTTGGGCTGCTGAAACTCTCAGCTTCATCTTTTAACAAAAGCCTCCTGGCAAGGATCACTGTCCTTCAATGTCTGATGTTCAATGTGTTGAAAACCGTTGTAGCATATATTTTGTCTTTTTTTTTTTTTTTTTTTTTTTAAGTGTTTCAGGTGTTTCAGGCAGGAGATTAAGTTCAGCCTCCTTTACTCCAACTTGAAAACAAGTCCAAAACAAACTATTTTGATGTAATTTGATCTTTTAATACATTAACATTACACAATTTTGTGAATATATCATAATTTAAAATTTTCAGAGAATGTCTAATGGTCCTCATTTCTTGACAGTGTGGTTTAGTTGAAACTGATGAACATTTTATCAAAACTTTTCCCCTCAATTGGATACTTTTTTTTTTTTGAGATGGAATTTTGCTTTTGTCACCCAGGCTGGAGTGGCATGATCTCAGCTCACTGCAACCTCTGCCTCCAGGCTTCAAGCAATTCTCCTGCCTTAGCCTCCCGAGTAGCTGGGATTACAGGTGCCCACCCCCACACCTGGCTAATTTTTGTATTTTTAGTAGAGACGAGATTTCACCATGTTGGTCAGGCTGGTCTAGATCTCCGACCTCAGGTGGTCTGCCTGTCTCAGCCTCCCAAAGTGCTGGGATTGCAGACGTGAGCCACCATGCCTGGCCAACTGGATAATTTTAAAAAGACCATTTTATTTAGTCTATTTTTTCTCAATCTATAGATGAGATAAGAAAAATCATTCTAGATGTCCAAGGAAAAATTCTTTCAGAAAAGAGCTGTGAATGATATCACAAACCCCCCAAACAGTTAAGGTATTTCTTTCCTGGTTATTTTATGTCCAAAATCATGCATATGAACATGTGCACACACATGAGCGTGCACACACACATGAATACATATACACGCACATAATGTACCTTAGGTTATCTTTCCATTCTGAGTAATTATCGTAAAATGGGTAAAATCAACCCCGTAAGATACCTTCATCGATAAGGCAAATCAAAGCTTTGGTAATTTCTGCTATCTTGGCCTTTGTTGATTGACTAATAATGAATAAGAGAATGAGTTTCAATATTTACTATGAAATTATTTTAGAAGACAGGATGTAGACAGTGGCTGTTAGCAGGCAATTGTTTGGCATGAGCCAGTAATGGTTACTGTGAAAAAAATCAACCAAGCAGCCCATATATTAAACAAACACACGCAGAAGCACGTTGGAGTCTGAAGCCTCATATGTACAATTTTCAGTAAAGAAATAACTTTTAGATATGAAATAAACAAATAGATATATGTTGTAAACTTGTCCCTATGTATTTTGATCAAATTGCATCATATTTTTTTCACTTTAAAGAAGAGAATTTAGTGCTTTAACTGAGACTTAGTGTTATCATTCAAAATATACTGACTGCCAATAGCAGTAGAAAGATAATCTGGTTCCATGCAACTCTATTTTTTTTCCTCTGTCGCAAGTAAAAGACAAAATTAAGTACATGAATTAGTGCTTTTTGAAGATATTCCAGAGCAATATACCATGCCACTATGGAGAACCTCTCTAAAAATATCCCATTTTTTTACCTGAGAAAAATATTGATCATGTTATATGCCACTCAAATTGGTTTATTAAATTCGTTGAATGATATCAGCATCTCTTAATGCATTCACTAAACAAGCAGTAATTGAGTGCATATACAAAGTTTTATCATCCACCAAAACAGTGACAATCCACATGAGGCTCTAATAGAAGTTTAGAAAGGGGGTTAAGTGGTTAAATGCTGGACTCAGAAAGATTGGATTCAAATCCCAGGTCCTTTAGCTTAATAGTTGTAGAATCTTGTGAAAATATCTTAATTCTTTTCATGTCTCTGATTTCTCTTCTCTAAAATGGAAATATAAATGAGATGTGTATAAAGCCACTTGGAATAGCATTTTGCACAAAATAATTACTCATTAAATGTAAGCCCCTATTATAACTAATCACTCTTTATAAGTGATTAGTTCATATCAATACAAACTAAGACTTATTTACTGAATTATCGTCTCTAAACATCCACACTGCAGAAAAACCAACCTGGAAATTTCATAAAACCTTATTTTTATGTAGTATAATTTCTTCTCAAAGCATAAGGGCTCTTGGATTAGGAATTGAGGAAAATTCCAATTCAGCCAAACGCATCTGTTTCAGATAGCTGACACTTCTGCCTACTCATTTCCTAGCTAACAAGAAGAAATGTTAATGGGAGTTTTCAAAGGAAAAGCTGAACACCATGAAGGAAAGTGACACAAATAATGTTAGCTCATATATTGACAGGGTGAATTTGTGTGCTTTCAAGTCCCTTCAGTGAAAATAGGAAAGTAGAAATTATAAAATGCCCTAACATTTAAAGCTAGCATGTTCTTGGAGACTAGGAAAAAATAAGTTTTAAAACATGGGCTATGATAGAATGAGATGGAAAATGTTTGTAGTTGCCAGTAGAAACAATAACAATTACCATTAGATTAAGTATTTAAACCAGCTGAATATTTTTATTAATGGAAATGGCATCTGTTTTATGAAATAATGCTGCTGAATGAACCATATTAAAAATGACCAGTATTTCCTGCAGAACGTTGTCGCAGACATACAAGCCTGAGACCCTAAAATCTTAAGGTATTCCATTTGAAATCGACCTTAAGACATTAACAGTAGTGGTATTGTTTAGATGAAATTTTTTAGGCTTTAAATCAACAAATGTTAAGCAGACATGGGGAGCGAAACACCAGTGTGTTATTCTGACATGAATAAACTGCTGTTTTTAGGGAAAAAATATAGTCTTGTTAAGGTTAAGCTAATTGGTTTTCTGGTATCTTTTGCAATGTTAGTGTGTTTTACTGCTCCATAACCTATGTTATATGGTAAATGTGCAATATATTTATATATGTTGCTGTAAAGAAATGTAATAAAAAACTGTTTACTTTGTGATATGAAAGTAAAAATTTATTCATTGTCATTGAGCATACAGAAGTAAATATGGATTACATATGTCATATTTTAATGTTCACATGGTCCCACCATCAAATGTTGAAAAACTTATAGTTTAACGTCATATTCTATTGAAGAAAAATACACTCCCTTTTCTCAAATGTGAAATGTCCAGAGAGAATGGAAAATTACATATAAAGCATGTAGTTATAGCATGGTGACCCTGCTGTGATCTCTCAGATGAGGAACAAAAGGGAGAAAGAAAGAGCACACTGGTGCTTTGGAGTTGAGAGAAGGCAAAAAAAGAGTACAAAAATGTCAAAGCCAAGTTTAGCTGCTCTTCAGCTCTCCCTTTAGCTGCTCTTCAGCTTTACCTTACCATGGTTATTAGTGATTGAAGAAAATTCTAAAGCACTTTTTAAAGGACCCAATTCTGAAGAGTTTAGATTCAGAGAGCACAATGGAGTTGGAGTGACTCCTGCTCAAAAGTTTGAGACAAGCGAGTCCATGAAAAGACCGTCCTCCTCTTAATGGAAATACCCAGGTTTTCTCATTCTTCTCGCCTTGCTTTCAGCACTCGCAGCCCAGAAAGCCCTTATCTAACAGGTACTGCCGTTGAAAGGTCATTGACTTGTACAAAAATGATGAGTGCTGAATAGATGTGCATAGGTCACTGACAGTATCTGCTACAGAGAATGAGTTTTCGTATTTTTATTAGGATACACCTAACATGGCAATCTACTGCCTCAAAGAACTCTATAGGAGGTAAGTGAATTTATATTAATACAGATTGAATTAAAGGATAATCTAGAAAAAGGCATATGATGTAAAAAAATCAGACACAAGTATATTTTCTGTATAGTCAGTTTTTACATTGTGATTTCACCAGCTGGCTGCTGAGTTTGACGGCTTCTTAACAGCCACACTGCTGAGATTCAAATGCTGATAGAAACTTTGATGGAAAAATCACTGGAGTAAATATTTCTACCATCTGTTGCCCTTCACTGGGACCCTAACGTTAAGAATAATTCATACCATTGCTTGTCCTTTATATTTCCCCAGCAGTAATAAAATTTCATAAGATTTTGTTTTGTGGTCACAAAGCTATCCTGGTTTCTGTAACTAGAAGACATACACTAGCATAAGGGAATCAGCCGGAAAATTTACTGCTAAGAGAATTTGTCTCTAGTCACTTACTTTAAGGTTACAGCAATGTGTAAGTGTGGGAATACATTTTAAAATGAGCTTTTCAAAGTTATTAGCTGGTAGTGGCATGAGAGTTAAGTCTCTTAATACAGTTAAACAGTTGGGCACTTCATCCTTGCGTAAATATTGTTACCCTTTTATTGCTGCTTGGAAACTCCTCTGCAACTTTTTGGCCCCTATCCATCTTTTCAGAAGTAGTAAATAACCAATTTACTGGGAGTGTGGTACCAGGCAGAAATTCCGAGAGGGGCTTTCAATCCTTGCCCATCAAGTGTATCTTTCAGAAATAAGTATATTAAAATAATTGGATAATTTCAGTGGCTTGTTATTAGACTTCCGTTGTCCAGCATGGCATGTTTAAGAAGATGACAGATTTTCATACATTATTGGAAAGAAGCAAGAACAAAAAAACATAACTTACTGTAGTAACCACGGTAAAGAACTGCTTAAAATGCAGGATAAACATGTCATCCCTAAGGGATTCCCATTCTTAGAGCATGAAATTATCAAGAGAGTAAGAGACTACAAAAAATGAGAAGAATGCTGATTGCAAATTCCAAATAGAAAAAATCAAAACAAAACTGCGCACCATCATTCTGGAAGCAATGAGAAGCAGAAATTGTCATTTAATGAAATGTAAGATTAAAGTTAATAGAAGTAATTTTCATGAAATAATATTTTGCAAGGACGATGTTCCAGCCATATTGATCTTCGTGTTTTCTTTTCACATCCCTTCTTACTGTTCCCTAGAATGCTTGTTTCTACCTTTAAATTTGCTTTTCTCTCTACCAGAGGGCTCTACCCTATCTCCAGTTTCTCACCATGTCCCAATCTACTCCCTCTCAGAATTTTTGTACACTTCCCTTTATATATATTTGTGCTCTAATTTTATATTCACAGATATGCCTTTTGTAACTCCCCCATCTTAAAGAAAGCACACACGTACGCACACATGCACACACACAAAATTGAACTCTTTCTGGGAGATCTGCTTAACTTTCTTCATAACTCTGTCACTTGCTGAAACTGTAGTATGTGTTTTCATGTTTATTATCTTTTCCATTAGAATGAACATATTTTGGGTACTTGGTCTTTCTCGATCACCAATATACCTCGGTACGTAGAAAAATTGATTCATATATTGAAAATGTAATATTCAGTAGAACGAATAAATACATAAATAAATTTAAAAATGATACTTTTATTGTATTACCTGAGACAAATGATCCCCAAGTTTGTCCTTGCTTTTCATAGCCAAAACATTCTCTCTTACATTGAGCTTCCTTCACCTCTTCTGTGTACAGAGCACTTAAAATTTTCACATTGCCTGATACTTTAACAATATGATGGCCCTGTTCTCTTACCCATTGGAGCATATGTTAAATACCAGAACCCATGTAACAAACATATATTGTGATCCTACTGTGTGCAAAGCAGATACTGCTTGCTGCTAGGAATACAGAGCTGACTAAGAGCTCCTTTTCTCTTTATGAGCTCACAGTCTCATGAGTTCAACGTCTTAAGGCACAACGTCTAAAGCAAAGGGCAGTAAGTAAACACTCCAGAAAGTACTGGATCTGGCCTAGGACAAATGGTGGGTTGTTTTTCCAGCTGTTATTTTTCCTGCCCCCTAATTGACAGTCCTCCATTACACCTCTGGGATACCTAGTCTGACTTGGGAAAACCTGACTTTGGGAATCAGAGGCAGTCTCTCTTGCTTATATATGAGGAACTCTAATGGATACTTACTGTCATTAGAGAAACTCTGCTTCTAGCCTGGCTCCTTTTGTAAAGAAGGTTGAGTCCCCTTGGAGAGCCTGCAGAACATAACCATTTGCATGTAATGAACAGTTTGTAATACTTTGAGATTGATGTGCAATTTCTATTTGACAAGGGAAAAACAATTAGGATTAACCGTGGTCGTATATCCCAGAATACCAACGTTGTTTCCACACTCTAAGTGTTGTTGGGTCATTATATGAGATTCATAATTTTGTCCTGTTGTACCCACGTTTGCATTACCATTCAGTCTTAATTTATTATACCCTATTAAAAGTTTTTTTGGTAATTTGTTCTTATTGCTACTCAGGCATTAAAATGTCTGCAGGCTGTGAAAATGAATAAATTTAATGTGGCAGCATAGTTCTCAAAATCCTGGCTTTACAACTCATAGTACAGGCTTGTATTGTAAATCCTAGTTAACATGGATTTATTTGAAAATCCAATTTTACTGCTAATCTTAAATAACACATTTTTCAAACATTTTATCCTTGAATTTCTATTTTTTTATAATTTATGGCTGTTGTATGTATTTACAAAAGGACAATGTGTGTACTTTTAAATACTAGTAATGGATTGCTGAAACAACTGTAACTTTAAAACAATGCAATTGTTAAAAAAATAAACTGTGCAGCCTGGCTTAATGGAGGCTTATGAACATATGATTAAGATATATGCTATAATAAGCAAATTCACTCAACTGATAGTTCATAGGAACTTTCAAATTTAATCTCATAACCAGTGCTATCCTTCAAAGAATGGTCAGGGCAATTTAACGAGTACATGACCACGCAAGATAATTTCATTGAAGAGTGGCTGAACTGTTGAAATATTTTCTAGTCTCCTTGGGATATCATTAAGAGCAGAAATTTTGAAATGGAATTGTAATGATGTTCAGAAAAGATAAGTAGGTAACTCTCTTAATACGTTTTGTGCTGCTGTAACAAAGTACCTAAGACTAGGTAATAATTTGTAATGAACAAAAATGTATTGGCTCACAGTTCTGGAGACTAGGAAGTCTAACATTAAGGTGTCAGCCTCTGGCGAGGGCCTACTTGATATGTCATCACATGATGGACGATTAGAGGGCAAGAAAGATCAAAAGGGGGCTGAACTCCCACTTTTATAAGGGAACCAAACCCACTCGTGAGGGTGGAGCCCTCAATCCTTAATCACCTCCTAAAGCTCCCACCCCTTAATACTGTCACAATGGCAATTAAATTTCAACATCAGTTTTGGAGGGAAAAACATTGAAACCATAGTAGTGATACTGACTACTACCACACAGGGCTTGGGAGGCTACCCTAGCTGTTGCACCCAAGAGATGAATCTTCTAATGTGATTACCTTTATCATTTTTTTTACTTTATTAAAATACTTTTATTTTACATGTATACTTTTGTCTACCCACCATTTCCATGTCTGACCACTGCTACTACTATGTCCTAGCATAACATTCCATACATCCTTAAAACCAAGCAAAGGGTGGAGTTCCATCTTTAAAAACTAAACAGGCATTTTGGACAACACATTCTTGGCAATGGAATCTGGACAACATTTATCAAACATGGTAGGGAAGGTTCTCACTCTGCATTATCAAAACGACAGCCAGATATCAACTGTTACAGAAACGAAATCAGATGGAAAATTTTTAACAAATTGTTTAAACTATTTTCTTAGAGAGACTTCCTCCACTGCCAGAGATCTTGAATAGCCTCTGGTCAGTCATCTGGAAGCAATTCTTCACATAATTCATGAACTTGGCTTCCACTTTAGGAAGAGAACCACCTTTTTCTATACTTGCTTGCATTTTTGCTTTAATGTCTTCTACAGAACTAGGTCCTTTGGGTGTTTTAGGAGTTTTTCCTTGTTTTGAAGGATTCTTGTCCTTTTGATCTTGGTGTTGACGGTTTTGAGTCTTTTCCATTCCGATTTGACTTTTGTGCATTTTTGGCTGGAGTATCTCATATAGATTTCTTCACTGGCGCTTTTTCTTCAGTTTCCTCATCATCAAAATCATCATCATCATCAAAATCATCATCTTCATCAGCAGCAAGTTTTACTTTTTTCTGTGGAACCTTGCTACCACCTCCAGGAGCAGATCGCTTTCCAGATATACTTATGAGTTTCACATCCTCCTCCTGTTCGTCTTCTGACTCTGTATCTTCCTCCCCAGCTACTAAATGCTGTCCACTCACATGCACTGGCCCTGAACCACACTTCAACCGTAAGACCACTGATGGTGTTATTTCAAAGCCCTCAAGGGAAACCATGGGCTGTACAGACATTTTCAAAGCTGCCAGTGTTACTTTAATTGGACTGCCTTTGTAACTCATTGCCTCTGCTTCAACAATGTGCAATTTATCCTTTGCCCCAGCCCCTAAACTGACCGTTCTTAAAGATAACTGTTGCTCAATTTCATTATTATCCACCTTAAAGTGATCATCTTTGTCGGCCTTTAGTTCACAACCAAAAAGATAGTTTTGGGGCCTCAGAGGACTCATGTCCATCATCGTCCATCAGGTGGCAGGACGCACTTAGGTGGGAGAGAAGGCAGATGATGATAAAGGACCACTGCTCAAGAGAACAGCTGTGCAGGACAGAATCACACCAGGGAGATTACCTTTATCTTAGAAAACCTGAACATCTTGTGTACTTTGACACTTCTCTACATTTCACCTAACCTTTAACATCAACACATTTATTCAGAAAACTTTTACTTTTGGAGCTGCTCTGTGTCAGGCTCTATGCTAGGTGCTCAGGATATTGAAATTGATACAATCCTAACCTATTCACATATAATCCAAGGTTTGCTGAAATTGATGGACATTTAAACAATTGAAACATTTAAGTGGTATAATTAGCAAATGGACATTTAAGCCATAAAAATAGCATCTAATAGATATAATAGAGGTCGGTACACCATTGATGAGTCAGAGCAGAGGCAACCCAAAGAGTAACTAGCCAGAAGAATTGGGAAAGCTTCATAGAGAGAGCGATATGAAAATAAGGGAGAGAATTGTAAATCCATGAAAATGAGAAAAAGTTGAAAAGTGATGGTGTCAGAAAAACTTGTGGTATGATAATGACAAGATGAGAGGAACTCTTGGTAAGCGTGTTGGATGCATGGAAAGAAATGGCACAAAATAATGCTGAGGACATTTTTTATTTTATTGTTGGTTTTGTTTTGGTTAATTTCATTTTTTAAATCTAGTATGCTAGTGTTCATTGTCCAAACTGTGAATCATAAACTCAGTTTGTGGATCAACACCGGCCTTTGATTTTTAGTGAAACAAAATAGAAAATATCAGCATTCATCACAAATAGATGTTTCACAGATTTTTTGTTTTAATTGCGACTGTGTGTGTGTGGGTGTGTGTGTGTGTGTGTGTGTGTGTGTGTGTATGTGAGAGAGAGAGAGAGAGAGAGAGAGAGAGATGGCTTGGATGTTTATCACCTCCGAATCTTATATTGAAATGTGATTTCCAATGTTGGAGGCAGGGCCTGGTAGGTGTGATTGGATCATGTGGGTGGATCCTTCATGAATGATCCCTTTGGTGACAAGTTAGTTCATGCTATATGTGGTTGTTTAAAAGAGTATGAGACCTCAACCCCCACCTGTTTCCTGCTCTCCCCTTTGCCTTCCACCATGGTTGGTTGTAAACTTCCTGAGGCTCTCACCAGAAGTAGATGCCAGTGACATGCTTCCTGTACAGCCTGCAGAACCGTAAGTCAAAAGAAAACCCCTTTTCTTTTTAAAGCACCCAGTTTCAGGTATTTCTTTATAGCAATGCAAGAAGGGACTAACACAGTTGTATGTGTATGTGTGTGTTGGGTGATTTCTGGTTGAGTGTCACAAGGTTGTAATATGGTGAGTGTAAGGAAGTATAAGTTTTAGAAAATTAAGAAGCCAGTTCAGAAAACTAATACTTTTGGAAAATAGTACAAAATCAACTTTACAAGAATATACACAGAAAGATGTAATACAAGATTTATTTCATTGCAGTAATTTATAAAGTTGGTTTAGTGCCTTGCTTTTGCATGCTGTTTTAAAAATTACCAAGAATATGACTTCATGTGATTTTGAAATACTCCCAGCAAGATAGGTAGAAAAGGTATTCTTATAACTCTTAGACAAAAATTTCGGAAAGTTTAAACGCTTTATCCCAAATCATAAAGCTAATAAATGAAGAATCTGGGATTCAAACACCATATTTTTTTTACTGTTCATCAGCTAGAAGTTAGAAATGTTAAGCCAAAAACATTAAGTCACTGCTCTGCCTAATAAATCTTGAGGAAACTAATAAAAAGAATAATACCACTGACTACAGGACAAGGTCTTCCTAAGAGACCTTAAATATATTAAGTGATGAAGATGAAACTTCTTTTATTCATAAAAATGTTATTTAGTTATGAGTAGAGCTCTAATTAAACTTATTTTATATTGTCATCAGTAAAGTTGAGACATAACATATTTATTAATATAATTATAATTTGACCCATAGTGTATTAAAAGAAGGATGTTAAAAGGAGTTGTTATTAGAGATGATGTTAGGGTTGTTGATGATAATAACAGTAGTCATAACATAACAAAGCACTTCATAATTTAAGAAGTGCCTTCAATTACATTGTTACTCTCATGGTAATCTCTGTTTGATATATAGATTTGGCGGATTCTATATCACTCTAAGACATAGGTTACTGAGGTGACGGAGGAATTTAGCAAGCGGCTGTCAAATGGAGGACATGAGCATTGGATTGTGTATGGCAAGGGCTGATGGTCTCTAAGAAAGCCTCTTGGTTTCCACAGGGCAGAAGCCCTTTGAAGATCATAGCCAAGGATTTAGTAATTGCCTCCCTTTCAGAATACCCTCAAGAGAAAAGCCCACCATAAGACATGGTTCCCTACAGGCAAAACTGCTTTTCCTTAAAATTTACTGTTCCCTGAATATCAGCCTTCTTTGGCTCATTCAACATAGTTTTCTTAAGTTTCAGGACAGTGCTGCAGACCAAAAGTTTCAACATTGAGGAAAACAATACTACTTGTGCAGTGACCCTACCTCAGTCAGGGAGGCAGATGCCTGCCTTTATGTGAGGGAATAAGGAATCAATCATATTTCCAGCACTCAAGAAAGCCAGTCTAGTGCAGGGAGAGATAGATACATAAACCTCAAAGTTATGATATAGCATAATAGTTTTAAATTTCCATAATAACTGTATTTTAAAAGTTTTATAGAAACAGAAGAGATGACCTCAGTCTGGAAAAGCCAGCTTGGAGAATGGCAACCAATATTAAGTGGCAAAAGCTTTGGGATCCCAGGCCTCCAGATGGAGGGTGATAGCATGGGCCAGACAGGTAGGTTAGGAAAACTTTGCAAAGGACATTACACGGTACACAGACAAGTCTGTGTTTTAGCCTATAAACCACAGTTGCAGAATGTGTTTGAGCAAAGGCTTTTGGGGATGAGATTTGCACTTTTCAAGATTTAAGTTTGTTTAGGATACTTACGGTTTGCTGTATACTTCCTGGGTTTTTACATTATAATTACGGTTTGAACTTTAAAGGAAAACTGCAGTTTAGCATACTTGAAAGAGTGCAACTTCAAGTCATGATTGGAGACAGATATTTAACAGATTTTGTGATCCTGTGATGCTTATTTTCTTCTCAGACATACCACATGACAATCATTTTTAAACAGTTTATTTCTACTTTAGCATCCATCTGAAGGTGTTGTGTATGTTTTCTGCTTGAAAATAAAGCAGTGGGCTGGGTGCGGTGGCTCACGCCTGTAATCCCAGCACTTTGGGAGGCCGAGGCAGGCAGATCACTAGGTCAAGAAATCGAGACCATCCTGGCCAACATGGCGAAACCCCATCTCTACTAAAAATATGAAAATTAGCCAGGCGTGGTGGTGCATGCCTAGAGTCCCAGCTACTTGGGAGGCTGAGGCAGGAGTATCGCTTGAACCCGAGAGGCGGAGGTCGCAGTGAGCCAAGATCGTGCCACTGCACTCCAGCCTGGCGACAGAGTGAGACTCTGTCTCAAAAGAAATAAAAAAGAAAATAAAGCAGTGAATGCGATTAAGATGGATTTATTATGATCATAAAGTACTCAGGAGTCTTATTTTAAAAGACAGCATTACTGTAATTAAAAATATAGGGAAGAAACTAATGCTGTTTTGCGTATCATTCTCAGCTCTCTCAAAATCAGATATTAAGCTCTTGCTGCCAAAGGAGACTATACTGCACGGTGCTCACCTGCATAAACTTTGAGAGGGTTGAATTGTGCCAAGCAATTCTCTCAATACATAAATTAACCAAATATTTGTTGACCTACTGTGTGACAAGTATTATTCCAGGAAATAAGAGATCCAGCAATGAAACAAGTATGGCTTCTTATAGAGTTCCCAAAAAGGAAATAAAAGGATATACGTATAGTGATATCCCTGAATTAAATTTCTCTTTTGAAAATAAAAATTCTATCATAAGCTGTAACTGCCAACACTTCAATACTCATTCAGCAGTTTTCAGGGATTTGTACCTTTTGACTTATGAGAATTTGGAAGTCTAATTGTATCATTGCACTGGAGTCTTAAAGAAACAGATAAGCGAATGACTTTGCCTGTATCATTGTTGACTGTACTTACAATCAGAAAGGGGCACAGGACAGATGCCAGGGAGTAAGTGGACAGCCCATAAATGGAATGGTAAGAAAGAAGAACTATAGTGGATTTGGAAAGTTCCCTTCAGCATTTTCCCTAGACAATCTTTGGCTGTGTTTGCATGATCAGTATTTCATTCACAGGATATTGAGCTCTTGATATAGTTCTCAAAACCCAAAATGAAATAAGAAGTCTACTCTTTATTTAAATTCAAATTCCAGAGAGTTAAGTAACTTTCCAGGAGGTAATCTAAATATGGCCTCCTTGTTGGGGGGGGGGGGGGTGTTTGAATTTGCATATAAATAGTCTCACCCTTAAAGGAAAACCACAGATGGTGGTAATGATGTAGTCATAATGTACATCTCCACAGTGGTGGAACAAAATATCCACAGTTTTGCTTTCCCCAGTTTCAGTGACCCATGGTCAACTGCTGTCTGAAAATAGGTGACTACAATACAATAAGATATTTTAAGAGAGAGAAAGAAAGATCACATTCACATGATTTTCATTACAATGTATTGTTATAATTGTTCTATTTTTATTCATGATTTTTAATCTCTTAACTGCGCCAAATTTATAAATTAAAATTTATCACAAGTACATATAGTTTATATAGGGCTCAGTACTATCTGCAGTTTCAGACATCCACTGGGAGTCTTGGAATGTATCCCCTACAGATAAGGGGTAAACCACTGTATCCTATTTGTGTGAATGCTACAGGTGTTGTGAGCTCATAACAATATGACATCAACACTGAACTAATCCAGGATTTGGTAGTGAGAGTGATGTATTTGCAAGGAGTGAGACGTGGTGCCTCATCCAAGCAGAGAAATAATTTTGAAATTTGCCTGACAATAAAAATCACAATGTGAGGTCTCTCTTTAGAGCTGCAAAGTCCAATTCAGTGCCCCCTAGCCACATAAGATACTGAGCTCTTAAAATGCGGCTAGTACTAATTGAGATGGGCACTGAGTATAACACACATGCCAGGGTTTGAATACTTAGAACCAAAAAGGAAGTAAATGCTCATTTATTGCATGTTAAAATTATGGTTTTATTATAGTTGATTAAATAAAATATATAATTAAATTGACTTCATTTTGCTTTTAAAAATGTGGCTATGAAAAATTTCAAATTATATATGTGTGTGATTACATATGTGTGTTTTCACATATGTAACTGATGTTACATGTGAAATTGATTGTTACATGTGACATGTAAAACACGTTACCTAACACGTGCATATGTATGCAACACATATGTAACGTGTTACATATATAACACGTTACATATGTATTGTTACATGTGTGCTTGCATTACACACATGCATAATATGAAATTACATGTAATTTCAAATTACATGTGTATATTTTGAAAATTACAAATTACGTATTTTGTTATTTTTGCTTTACAAAGTCAAATTTACCCTATTTAATAAAGCATCATGAGTTTTTTATAACTAGTAAACTTTGAGACTTTTGTAGGAGAATAAATAATGCTTATTATAAAAACTGATTGGAAAAGTGAGCTGGAGCAGGGAGCGGAGGAAAAAGGACTAGAGATCACCTTTCTTCCCAGCTCCGCTCCTCTCCCAACCTTTTTTCTTTCCATTCTCTCATCCCAATTCAAAAGTGCAGAGTTCACAGTTGGTGTGCTGATTTAGAAAACAGATATATAAACAGCCTTAAATTTTCTCCAGGCTTTTACAATGAAAAGAAGTTCAATATCAAAAGTAACAATATAATCTGTGGAAAGGTATAGGGGGCTATGTTTTTGAGGTAGAAACTATAGGTGCTCCTGGCCAAGCATGGTGGTTCAAGCCTGTAATCCCAGCACTTTGGGAAGCTGGGGCGAGAGTATTGCTTGAGCCCAGAAGTTTGAGTCTAGCCTGGCCTACAGGGTGAAACTCCACCTCTACTAAAAATACACACACACACACACACACACACACACACACACACACACACACACAAAAGCCTTGCGTGGTGGCGCTTGCTGATAGTCCCAGCTACTCAGGAGGCTGAGGCGGGAAGATTGCTTGAACCTGGGAGACAGAGGTTGCAGTGAGCTGAGATAGCACCACTGCACTCCGACCTGGGTGACAGAGTAAGACTGTCTCAAAAAAAAAAGAAAAGAAAGAAAGTATAGGCACTCCTTATATGCAGCTGCTCACACCCCTCCTCCTTCACACCCCTCCCCCTTCACACCCCTCCCCCTTCCCCAAAATTTGCAAGGGGAAAAATGTGTGTAATTGGCAGTATTTAGTGGCGTGCAACCGTGAGTCATCAGACTGCACATCCTCACTTCTGCTAGTGGCTCAGTACCCAACAGCACTCAGTGAAAACTAACTCATTTCAAAGGTGAAAACAAGTGAGTTTGGCCACCAGGGAGTGTTCAAAACTGTCAGTGCTGAAGCAAATGTGGAGGGTGTTCTGTAGTTTGTTCAGGTTGATATTTGTGGTCCAACCCCTAGCTGAACTACTAATTATTAATATCTGTCTTGATGGTGCCTCAGGAGAAAGCTTCTCAAAGGGAATCAATGTTCAAATTATAGTAGGTATCTTGGCCATGGAAGTTATTGAATTTTAGCCAATACTTGCTACTCTTTCATTTATAGTGTGAGAATGCAGTGTAATGAACCTGACTCTCACTGTCCTGACTTGCCTTTCTCATCGCATTCACAATAAGCACGTCAATACGTATACACATTTCATATTTCTAAAGTTTACTTTATTTCCTTATTGTACATCGCTGTGCTGCTGATGGAAGAGAAAAGGAAAAACACTATTGATTGCAAAACTGTTTTATCTTTGGTGGCTTAGATTTTTTTTGTATGATATGTAACGTCTTGCATACCTAAGGCAACACGAAGCTAAATAGATTTGCATATAGCATGTATTTTTTCCAATTAAATGTTTAATTTTGTTCAGAGTATACTGGGGACATTTTGAATAATGGAGAAAAGTACAAAGAAAATTCATAATTCTACCACCTATCAGCACAGTGAAATTTTATGAAGAAACATAATTTTCATGTAAATCATAGTGAACTCACGGTAGGTTTTATTTAATACAGTAATTGGAGAGCTGGTAGGAAGACAAAACTGGTTCAAAAGAGAATACAAGAAACAAATGCTTCTATAATGAGTGAATTTTTAAAAAAGTATTCTGGAATAAGATTAGTGAATAAGATACTAAACTCGTTGATACCCTACAGCCTTTGGGGTTATATCCTCTACTGGGTAAAAAGTCATTTACATCATATCAGTTTTCTAAAATTTGCATTGAACTTCATAGCGTTGTAACATGTGTGGGCCCAAATTAATAGTAAACAGTAAGAGTTGCTTTACTCTGAAAATATTGAAGCTCTTGTGAGGGTGTGAGGAGTTTGTTAGAAAACAACGCTACCATTATTTTGAAACACACACGATCATCTTTTGTTTTACTTCTAAGTTTTGGATAATTTTTCTTAAATTATCTTATTATCTTATCCATTTTCTTAATTTCCTTAACCTTTTAAATGTTTCTCCTAGGCACTTTTATTGATTTTTGGAATATAGTTGATATGTGCTGAATTTTTATCATCCAGTTTTAATTCTACTGAAAAATCTAAAAGATGTTCATCAACTACTATATTTCAAATGCATACATCCCCTTTCATGCTAAAGAAACTGTATGGGAAACACAGTCTGACATTTTCAGGACCTGGTATCATTAAAAGTCTTGACACTGTTAAAATTAAACAACGCCTTTTTTAAAATCAAAGGATACAAAAGGGCTGTGTTGGTCAGAGGATACAAAATTTCAGTTAGATAGGAGACATAAGTTCATGAGATCTTTTGTACGACATAGTGACTATAATTAATAATAATATGTTTTCGAAAATTACTAAGAGAGTCGATTTTAAGTGTTCTCACCGCAAAAAAATAGTATGTGAGGTAATGCATATGTTAATTAGCTCATTTTAGCTAGTCCACATTTTTCAATACAATGTGTTGTATAATACGTGATATATACAACTTATATTTTCCAATTCCAATAAGTAAAAATAAATGTAAATTATTTGAAATAAATAAAATGTGAAGAACATCCACTTTTCATATGAAACCATGAGATATTTTCTGTTAAAAGATTAAATGTCCAATAAATTTTTGATGTTAACAGAAACAAAAATGTTTAATATTTAAATACATATTTGCATGCTATTGACCCCCTGAAGTTCACTGCTGGGCTAAGTGAACCAACTATATCTTAAGTCAAAAATGCTGAAATTCTTCCCCAAATCCCAAAGCTCATGAAAACATAAACAGAAAATTTCCAAATAATTCTACAGGGAAAATAAGACACACTATTTGATCTGATCAAACAACGGGATGATTATGGTTAATAATGAGTTACTTGTACATTTAAAAATAACTAAAGGAGTGTGATTGGATTGTTTGTAACACAAAGGAGAAATGCTTGAAGGGATGGATACCCCGTTCTCCATGATGTGATTATTACCCATTGCCTGCCTGTGTCAAAACATCTCATGTACCCTACAAATATATACTCCTACGATGTACCCACAAAAATTAAAATAAAAAAGAGAGGGACCCGAAGATAAGCTAATATTTAAGCTCATCATACTTATTAAGATAAGCAATACATACCGAAAGTAATAGCATTTAAAACCAGATGTTGGGGGAGGGTTCTAACTTGTTCATTAAAATTCAAAGTCACCTGTCTTGTTTTTTCTTTTGTTTTTGTTTTTTTTTTTTTTTTTTTGAGATGGAGTCTCGCTCTGTCACCCCAGGCTGGAGTACAGTGGCGCGATCTTGGCTCACTGCAAGCTCTGCCTCCCGGGTTTACGCCATTCTCCTGCCTCAGCCTCCCGAGTAGCTGGTACTACAGGCGCTGGCTACCACGCCCCGCTAATTTTTTTGTATTTTTAGTAGAGACGGGGTTTCACCGTGTTAGCCAGGATGGTCTCGATCTCCTGACCTCGTGATCTGCCCACCTTGGCCTCCCAAAGTGCTGGGATTACAGGCGTGAGCCACCGTGCCAGGCCACCTGTCTTGTTTTATCATGATCCCGAGAGTATATATGTATGTGTACAGCTCATCTAAACCCTTTTTCTTTCAACATGATCAATAGATTGAACATTGGAGATATTTTATAAGAAATAATGAAGACAACTCAATCAGCACATATATATATTAAATGTGGAATCTATAATGATTGCGAAGCCTGAAGCAAACTAAATATTCAGTAATAGGTTCTTTTTTTCCATGGTATATCCATTTGAATATATAACATAAATGCCTTACATTTGTTTTAACTATTTAAGGTTTATGTTGTTAGTGTGATGAAATGGCTGGCAAAAGTCAGAAACTCAGGAAAGTTTCAGGCTTATATCTGGAGCCTGGTTTTCTTTCTTCAAGGTAGAACCTCTGTGAAGTGAAAAATTTTTTTTATATCTGGAGCAATAATGTAGAAGCTTAAATGTATTATCCAAGTTGTCATAAGCCTATTATTTCTTTACATTACTGAAGTGAAAGACAGCATTAATGGCTAAATGCCATACTTGGCTATAATTTATATTGTTTAGGACTGGAAATGAGCCTGAAATGTACATTTTTTTCCAAAATAGTTCATGTAATATTTGAAACCTGACAAGTAACCTGATGATTTCATGGAATACCATCAAATATAAATGTGAAGTTTTAAAGACACAGGGAAATACTCAGAATAAACCCCCTAACCACAGGCCAGCAGAAGAACTAGACTTGAGAAAATGAATGGGAAGATAGATAGTAACAAATGACTTCTTTGGCAGCCTTATATATGCTTAGTCTTATAGACTGTTTTATGGATGCTCTGCACTCTATTTCCAGCAAGTATGGCATTTGGAACAGGACCACACGAGACAAACTATGAGTTCACATTTCCCACAACTGCACAGATAGAAAGAGGGAACAACAGAATACTCCCTTTCTTCTTGAAACAATAACTTCTGTTGAAGCTCACTGGCTTCTTTTCAGCTGTTTCTGCTAGCTCCTCCTCCGCCTCTTGACCTCTAAGGCAATGCTCTTCAAAATTTCAAGACTGCTTTCTAATTGAAACAAAACTTATAAGCACATTTCTTCCCACAAAATGTACATTTATTTGTAAATCATATATGAATATGACTAAGCATGTAAACGTATGTGAAAATAGAAATCAATAAATATAAATGCAAACACAAATAGAAGCATTCACAGTTTTCTTTTGTGTCCCAGTGAGTTGTTCCAAATTCCTCGGAGGTAGGTATGTCACAGTTTGAGACTATACCTTCAATCCTAGGGTTTCTGGTTTCGCTCTCCTCCTAGGTGATAGCATCCATTTCTACGGACTTAACTGCCATCTTTAGTTGAATAACTCCTCTATCTTTCCATCCCATATTTCTCTTGATTCCAAACCTGCTTGTTCACCTGAGCATATGACACAATTCATTGGCTGCCGCACATGCAGCTTTGACATTTTATTTAAAATCTTTCCCCTTCCCCAGCCCTCATCTATTTCACAGTAGTATCTTCTTCTTATCTACTTGATTGGTAAGCAGAGTCCACATGATTCCATCATTTATCTCCCATTTTATATCTAATCTATAAGCAAGTAATGCAATGCAACTTCTGTCTCCAAAAATTTATTTTGAATTTGCCTTCTCTTCCTCTGCATCTCCCCCATCTTAGGCCAGGTCACCTCTGCCCTCTTGCCAGATTAGGTCACATTCTCTTACTACTGTTGTTATTCTCTTCCTATTCAATCCTACACCGCAGCAAAATGGATCTTCTCAAAATGTCAGCTAGATAAAGGCATTTCTGTGCTTAAGGCCCTCATGGATTTATCTTATTAGGATGAACACCCAACTCTTTATTATGGCTTAGAATACAATGAATTACAACACATAATGAATATATTATATTTCTATCTTTACCATTTTCTTCTTAAGTCAACCTTTCTCAATCCATATAGGATAATCATATTAGTGCTTCCTCACTTTCTAAAACATCTCAGGGCCTTTGCACGTGTTTCTCTGTTCTTAGACCCAGAATGCTCTTCCTTTTCTCTTTGTGTAGCTAGGTGCTTCTTTCCATTTACGTATCACATGAAATGCAGTCATTCCCTCCTCCTTCCCTCACTACCTCACAAAAAGTTGATGCCTCTGTTAAACCATGAATGGAATTTTACTCGGCAGTGAATAGAGGAAAAACCAATGGTAAAAGCAACCATATGAATGAATGAATGTCAAAAATATTATGCTGAGCCAAAAGTCATAGACACAAATATGGGTATTTACATGAAGTTAAAGCACAGCAAAACTCAATTACGGTAATAGAATTAAGAAAGTGGTTACCTCTGGGTGAGGGTTGGAATTGAGTGGACAGAGGCATTAGTGACTTTTTCGGGGTAATGGAAATGTTGTCTATTTTGTTCAGGTGGTGAATACATAGATACATTCAATTGTCAAAACACATCCATCCAAACACTTAGACTTTTGCACTTTATTATATGCAAATTATGCCTCAACTGAAAAAAGTTTGTTTTCAAAATTATATCAACAGTTGAAATTCTTTTAAAGATTTGATTCAAATGAGATTAATTCTGTATCCATCATTGATGTATGATAGTTTTGTATGTAGTTAAGGTTATTGGAGATAATTGAAAGTTATACTCACAAGAAGGCTGCATAATATGAAGTTTATCTGCCTTGATCTTTAATAGCTTTCGCGATTTCAACTTCTTCACAGCTCTGTAAGAAGGCAGTGTGGCATGTTGAAGCAAGCATGTGTTTTAGAGTAACACAGAGCTGGTATACAACCCCATGTCTACCAATTATCAATGATGTGGGTATGTTGCTGGATCTCAATAATCTTCCACTGTGAAATGGAATGTAACACCTGACTCACAACGCAAAGGTATTTACCTTATGTAATATAATTCCTGCGATCCTGGGACCTCCCTTAATCCCATCCACAGATGCCAGGTTAAAGACCCCATCACAGACTAGAACAAGTTGGGATGTCAAAATGAATAAATATTAATCGAAGGGCCTATTGTGATTGAACACCACGCAGTAGGCACTCTCTAATACCTACCGTCTCCCTCCTTTTTGGGGGAAACATTCTAAATGTGCAAAAAATAAAGGGTTATTTGCTTTCTGGCACTTGGGATCGATTTATTGAGGATATGTTAGCAGAACAGCAAAGGTGAAACACTAAAAGCACCATCAATACACAGGCAGAGGTGAAGCCATAAAGCCTTTATTTTTTAAATTAATGCACAATATATAAGAGGTATGTTAGAATGAACGTCCAATCCCTGAAAGGATATACGAAAGACATTCATAAAATTACATGGGCATGTTTTCTTAATGTTCAAAATATTGTTTTAATTAGTGTATTATGAGTTTATTCATGTGTCTGTGTGTTGTGTTATATTAATCTTTTCTTGCATTGCTATAAAGAAATACCTGAGACTGGGTAATGGATGAGAAAAGACACTTACTTGGCTCACAGTTCTGCAGGCTGTACCGGAAGCATAGCAGCATCTCCTTCTGTGGAGGCTTCGGGAAGCTTCCAGTCGTGGCAGAAGGCAGAACGGGAGCAGGCACTTCACCTGGCTAGAGCAGGAGCAAGAGAGACAGAATGAAGTACCACACACGTGTAAACAGCCAGATCTCAGAGAACTCACTCATCATCATGAGGATGGCACCAAGAGGATGGTGTTAAACCATTCATGAGAAATCCACACACATGATCCAGTCACCTCCCACCAGGCCCCACCTCCAACACTGGGAATTACATTTCAAGATGAGATTTGGGCGGGGACACATATCCAAATGATATCCATGTTTAATCAGAAAAATAAAAGTTAACAGTAACAGTGATTTTACTTTGTAGACCTTTGCTAATGGCTGAAATCTAGCTCCATTCCGAGAACAGCCTGCGGTACACATTTTGAAAGATAGTTGATTAATATGAAAGAAGCCTTATCTGTAGTCCTTAAGGCCATTATGGTTTACATATATGAGTAAATATTCCAAAGTAGCCATGCCAGTTAACATATATCCAGAGTCTAAAGGCCACTGGGCGACAAAAGTAAAAGATACATAGCAATTGTTACTTTATATCACAGTAATTCTTGTATATTTTAAATGGATATTTGCATTTGAGGATATCCACTTAAGAGTTAGGTACATGGCTCTTACATTTAAGTAACATTTACTTAAATTTCTGGCTGCAGCAATTCCACATAGGTAGAAATGAAGTCTGAATTGAGTTGGGGGTCTTTGCAGTGCTCTCTCTGTTCATTGGCTATTTTGACAATGCTGAGAGATGTGGTTAGCCATTCTTTTTCATTTCATATTGGCAACCTAGAGAGCAATTAAGCCTTCTCCCCTTAACTAGATGTATGTTTTACTCATTTCTGGATCTTTATGGCTGACTTTGAATCCTAGCCTGTGGTAGAAAGCATGGTGTCAGAAGGAACTATGAGTTAAGACTATGCATACTTGGCTTTGAGTCTTGGGTATCATACCTCCCTCATAGAGTGAAGGAACCAGGGATTCTTCTTGAGGCCCAGACCCGGCATCCATGTTAAGAATACCTGTGCAATTTTGCTTCCTGATATTTAAGGTGAAAATGCATGTTTGGGTCATTGTGAGGATTATGTGAGATGTTACTTTTAAATATAGGCCCCCTTATTATATGCTCTCATAGTTTCAGGCAACACTTGTCGTATTTGTAACCTCAGTTTTAACTGTAATGTTTCCATCAATGTCCCTCTTACCTGGTACAGGGGCTCTTCATATTCTTGGATTACAAATCTGTGAATGCAACCATGCATCAAAAATATTCAGAAAAACAATGAATGCCTACCTCTGTACTGATGATTTATAGGTGTTTTTCTTGTCATTATTCCCTAAACAGTACAATGTAATAAGTATTTATATAGCATTTACATTGTATTAAGTATTATAAGTAATCTAGAGATGTTTTAAAGTATATAGGAGGATGTGTGTAGGTTGTATGGAAATAGTATGTCATTTTATATGTCACTTGAACATTTGTGGATTTGCTATCCGTGGGGATCCTGGAACCAATCCCCCATGGATACTGAGGGACAATTGTATTATAAGCAGCAAGAGGGAAAGGAATCTGTCTATTTTGCCCAAAATCGTGTTCCCGGGACCTAGCATAGCTCCTGGCAAAGAGTATACAACAAATATGCATTGAGGAGAGAACAGAGGGAACCATTATCCCCTTATTCTCGCTGTTCCTTCATGTAATGAATAAACAGTCAAATCTTACAAGAGATTTTAAACCAGTCAGAGAAAAGTTGGAAGTTAGTTAGTTGTTCATACATTGAGAAGCCTCGACGCTGTGTCATCTAGGTAATGAAAGATCTAGGGAAGTTTAGCAGGGAGAAGAAGAGAGATGATAGTTGTCTTCAAATGTTTGAAGGACTGTTACGGACACAAAAATTTAAACTTGTGCTGAATAATTCCAAGAGGTACACAGTCTCTCGATAGAAGCTAAAGTGGGGGGTGACATTTGACTCAACAAAAAGCCATCTAAATATCAGAACTTTCAAAAGCAGGAACTGGTGCCTCAATTAATAGTGTGTTTTCTAGCACTTATGATACCTGATCATAGGCAAGATAATGAAAAATTGGGACCTGGGAGTTATACATGGGAATTTGTTTATCAGTTGGGTGATTAGGAGAGGTGGCCTTAAAGTCCTGTTGTGTTCTAAGAGTCTGTGATTCTGAGTCTTATTTCCCAACAAGAGAGGTACAGAGCAGAAGATGGGATTGGGAGAAATAGGATAAAGATACCAGGAAATCCTAAAGGTAAGAAAAGGAAGGCAGACCTGAAGCTAACTCTATACTTCAGGTGCTTGCCTAGAGCCAGCCCTACCTACTTAGAGAATGTTGAAGAGCCAGTTAAAACATCTTTAACACGGATGTAAAACAAAACTATCAAAACCTGAAGATTTCGAATGTTCTAACCTACTCGTCAGTTGGGCTTTTTTCACAAATACTTCAGTAAATAGGCATAAATTTATTTTTTAATGATAGAAAATATCTCTTAAAGAACTTATAACTGTGGATAAAAGCACCACCATAAAAATCTTGTGGTGAAATATATATATATATATATATATATATATATATATAAAATTTTAAATATGGTTAGCTAGAATATGACGACAATGTTTATGAAACACAGAGACTCTTGACAAGTCCCATGTATACACTATAAAACTTTAAGTTATCCACTATTCACTCACTAAGCTTATACTTAATGAGTGTCTGCTGTGTCACTTATTGCGGAAGGCACAGGCGGTATAGCATTGCACAAAACATATGTGGTCTCTGATGGAGTTTTTCAGTCTAGTGGTGAAAGCAGTGAATGGGTGTACAGATGTTAAATAATTGTACAATTAGTTGCATGTGTAAACGTCAAAGTTCAGAAGATGACAATTGATCTACGGCAATGTTTCTCAATCTCTGACGTTTTGAGCCAAATACATCTTTGTTGTGGTGGACTGCCCTGTCCACTATAGGATGTTTGGCATCACAACTGACCTCTGCCCATTAGATGCCAATAGTACTCTCTTCTTTAATCACAAATTTGTCCCAGACATTTCCAAATGTCCCTTGGGGAGCAAAATCATCCCTAGTTGAAAATCACTGGTCTAGGGGGAGGTCTTTATGAGGAAGTAACATCTAAGAAAGCTGGTATGTTTACATATAGCTACAGTCTATTACACATGTATACATATGTAACAAGCCTGCATGTTGTGCACATGTACCCTAGAACTTAAAGTATAATAAAAAAAATGTAACAAAACAATACAGTATGATAAGTGCTATGGGACCAAAGATGAAAGGGTTCTACTGCACAGTTATGAACTCATAGTTAGGCTTTTGGGGTCAAAATTTTGCTGAAGATATTTGCCACCCACGTGACCTTTGGCAGGTGACTTAGCTTATTCATGCCTCAGTTTTATCCAATGTGAAATGGGGCTGGAAAGTCCCATGTACTTCCTAATAACTTTGCGGAAATAATATGTGGTTATATAGGAAAAAAAAAAAAATCCTAGAAGTATGCCTGCTGCGTAGTAAAAGGAAGGAGAAGGATAAAGAGAAATCTGCATTTTTTCTTCTGTAATGGGGCAGATAGTAAATATTTTAAGTTTTGTGGCCCAAATAGTCTCTGTCACATTTACTTGATTCTGCAGTTGTGGCATTGGAAGCAGCTATGGACAATACTTAAATTAGTAGGTGTGCCTGTGCTTTCAATAAAATTTTATAAATACAAAGTTTGCAAAACAAAGTTGTTTTTTTTTTTTTTGTAGTTTGCTGACACCCTAGTAAAGAAGCACCATTGTCAACGTTAAAAATTATCAAATTTTTATTTTTCAAAGTTTTCAAATTTGCTTTGCTTGGTCTAGCTCATGAAATAAGTCAAAAGTAGCAAGACCTCCACCTCTAAAATAATAATAGTAATGATAACCTCAAAAGGAAAGAAGAAATATTTTTAAAGAAGAAAAATTATTGTTAAATAGGATTATTGTGCAGAGAAAACCTAGGAGACTCAATTTTAAAATCTGTGAAATAATTTTAAAAATACTTTATGAATAGATACATAATAGCTTTTATTCATATTAATGACTATAAATGCAAATGGAAATATTTCATTCACACTGATGACAATGTATAAATTAAGGAGGAATAAAAATTGTAGACCCTATAGGTGAAAAGCATAAAAATATACATAAGAAAAAGCAAAAATTGACTACGTAGGATTGTTTTAGGATTTAAGATTTATTGTCATTAAACTTGCAATACCAGCCAAGTTAACATTTGAATTTAATACAGTTATAATCAGAATGCTTTTGATGTGTTTGGGGGCAATATAATTTCAAAGGAAATAGGCAATGATGTAATTTAAAGTTTATATAGAAGGAAATTGTGTGCGTGTATGTGTGTGTATAAATTGGAAACAATTTTATTAATAAGCATATTATGGCAGCAACATACACTTCCAGATTTCTACTATACTTTGAAGTAATTGTGATCAAAACCACAGTGTGCTGGCATAAGGCTAGAGAAATGGGTTAGTGGTTTACAAGTGAGAGTCCAGGAAAACATCCAAATAAGATTGGATATTTTAGTTCTGTGTGGATAGCCTATTTCACTTAATAAATAGTGTCTCGTAATTGACTATTCATGTACCTATAAGTTTAACTATAGACCAAAAAAACGCCCTACTAGATTAAGGAGCTAACTAGAAATATAAATTCATATAAACAATAAAGGAAAGTGTAGGACTTTATAAGCTTCATGGGAGACAGATTTTTGGTAAGTCAGGAAGCCTGGAAGACTTAAAACATAAAATTGGCAGACTGAATTAACTGATAGTTTAAAGCTTCCATAGAGCAAAATAAATCATAAACCAAGTTTTAAAATATATAATGGATTTAGAGAAGGTATTTACAAAAATATATGACTAATGGAGGTTAATAATAACAATATGTAAGAAGGATATGAAATGGCATTTTACTATAAAGGTCAAACAAATGACCTATAAGCATAATAAATCATATTAATCTCCACTAGTAATAACTACACACATCTACATAATATAGATGTTACGCCTGCATTTGATTTACTTTATCTGTCTTTTGGCAGAACTATTTGTCACCAGATAAAAAATTCTATATCATTACCAGAAAGGTATATTATTATAATGTTTATTATGTTGCAGTTGTAAAAGAAATAACAGCTTTTCAATTGTTTACAAATCCTATAGAACATTTACTGAAATACATTTACATTTTGTGGCAAACTTGGATTTAAATACCGTGTTCGTGCTTTGTTTTATGCCGTTTTCCCATCTTTTCTCCAGGAATTTGATTGTGCTTCATTGAAAGCTAAAAAGAAAAAAAAAATAATTCTGGTTTTGGTTTAAAAAATTAGGTTAGGGGTTAAAAAGTTGTACGTTGTCTTCTGTAAAAATAAAAAACAAGTTTTCTTTGTTTCTTGGAGGCTTTATATTAAATGGATTTTTAATTCATAGACAGCATATTGTGATGAAATTTCCCCATGAGCTTCACATTTTGTTTCAATAGCAGAAACTAACTTGGTTGCAGTTACTGCCCTTCTGAGAACAGTGTTCTGGAATAATTTTGACATACATATGTATCTCTTTTTAAAACATGTGTTAATCTTTTCATAAAGAAAGTTTTCCCAGCTGTGTCACCTGTGACTCCAACTTTCTGGGGGGACAGGGATATGAGATGTTGGAAGGGAATGGCTTGAAGAAATAAAGTGCAAAAGACGTAATGCTTTCCTGTGGTAGAAATGTATTCAGTGACCCTGAATGACCTTCCTACTCTTGTCCCTTCATTTTTCCCACAAGTATGGTCTGGGCAATTATAAAAATTGACATTTGCAGTGGGCTCTTCTGTAAAAGATGCTCAATCAGAAATGATTTATTTTAGAAAAAGAGATGATATAAACATATATATCCCCTGTCTCGGAAGTGTGAAGGTTGAAAAGCAAGGAGATGATCTTCAAAGTGTCTAAAATATTGATTTGTAACATCGTTTTATGAAAGTGCTTCAGATTATTTTTTTTCTTGGATGGCCCCTTATGCTTTGGTCAGTTGATGCTAAAATCTGAACTTCTTTATTTTAAAAAAAACTTTTAATTTTGAAAAAGGAAGTTCACGGTGCTGTCTAATTCTTTTTAGATAGTCATTAATGTAAATGTAAGAGTCATTCTGAGAACCACATCTGCTGATATGTTCCGTTAAATTACAAGTTCTATGTGTATTTGCTTTGCTTTCATACAATGAATCTTCTTTACTCTCTTCCCCACCTGCCAGAAATTGCCCCACTCAACGTTCATAAAAGGTCCATTTTCAATCGCTATATTTATTTCAGAAGCAGAGATATCATATATTCAAATTTTAGTTACTTTCCAATATCAAGCTAATAACTCACACAAATAAATCAAACTACAGCAAAACAGCAATCTAGCATTCAACAAAACCTCCCCAATGCACATATTTCAAGCTGTAGATATGTATCATCCACCATGCTGAAATAATGTACATGTTCAAATCAAATGGAAAACTAGAATCAAAATTGTTGATTACTTCTTATCAGGGCATTTTATTATATTTAAGAAAAATACAAATTAAATCATTTTCAGGAAGCAATCCTTCTGGCTAAGATTTTTTTAGCATAATGCTTAAAGTTAATTGTTGATCTTTATCTATAAATTCAAAGGTGGACTAAAAATGCAGAATCAATCAGGTAGTCCATTTTGCATCAGGTGAAATATATAAAGCATAAAACAGCGAGTTACATTTCCTAACAAAATTGAATTACAGTGAGTAAAAGTGACAGGACAAATGCATTAAGAAAAGATGGACTGAAATGGATAGAGTAGAATATATGCATCTATAAAACACAGTCATATATAATACACTCATTTTTTTTCTTACGAGTGTGAGATTAATGGAAGAAAACAACAATAATAACAAAACCAGTGTGATGTGTCAGATTTCACCTTTTAATTAAAAAATTATTCACTTCAGAGGGGAATTTTCTTTCTTGGGTTAGCTCAATCATGTCAGATCTTGTTCATTTAAAAGGTCAGTTTACTTGCCTTCTGAGGTTTTTGTTTGGGAAAAAGAAAAGAAAATAGATTTTCATTGGTATCCTGGGTAGAATTAATTGTTTATCATTCATTTTTAAGATCTCCGAGAGGCAGAAAAAGGGGAACTGTGCAACCCTTTTGTCCTTCTGGATCTCAAAATGAAGGGATACATTCTGCTACATGAAATGTGGAATTAAGACCATGATGCAACATGATAAACAACACAAATTTGGGGGTGTCTCTGTGCTATACATTATTGAATTTTTCCATGCTATACACTTTTTGGATGTGTCTGTGCTATTTATTCAGTTTTTTTAAATAAAAGTTTTTGTAGACTAAATTGCCCTCTCTACTTTGCATCGTTTTTGAACAAAGGATTTTCAAGACTGATAAGCTCAAATGTATCATTTATTGTATTCAAGTAGCATTCAATTTTTCTTTAGAAGTATAATTTGTAGATATTTTAACACAGAAAACTTGCAACACTGCTCATGATAGGCACTTATTATATATTTTTTGAAAGACTATATGGATAATGATTCTAACTTTGACTTTTCCTGTTTTGCCTTCACTTTAGAATTAAGCAGAGAATCAAATCCATATTCCTGGGGGCGATGCTTGGACAACAGTATCTCTTTAAAGATCTTTGTGTGAGTCGAAGGTGCAGCCAGACTGGGAGTTATTGTGAAGAAACAGATTCAGGAAGGTTGAGAAACTTGCCTAAGGCTAATCAGATAGTTACTGGCAATGTTGTTTCTAAATCACTGTTTGGCTCCCTCATTCAATGAATCTACACTATGTGGGACTGCCTCTTGCTCCTGACATCTTTTGCTGCTGAAATAAATGAACTCAAAGCCTAGAAGGTAGAAAAGAGGGAGTTCAGAATTATATTCAGGCACAAATACCAATAAGGCTATTGCCCCCAGAACTGCAACTTCTCTTGGTTTAACAGATAACTATTTAGCTGTGAGGTACAACTGAGGAAGTGGACACACAAGTTATCAGGAGATTCTGATGTGCCAGTTTATATTTCTTGTCACAGGTAATGATTCGAAATTTCTTAAAACAGCTGTCCTCACAGTGGAGTAACCTGGGAGTACATGAAGGCATTCCAAGGAGTAGGCACAGATAGTTTTAAGGGAATTTATTTCTAGATCTTCTACTTTATTTTGTACTCTTCCTGAAAACTGAATTGCCTGAAAAAAAAAAAAAAAAAAAAAAGACATCTGTAGTCAAGACCTCAGGCTGTTTCTCCTTTCTAACCACTTGCCTTTTCTAACCACTTCTCCCAATTTAAGAAAAAAAGCCTTATATTTCATCCAACTCTGATCTTACTAAGGCTTCAAACAAAAGAAGCATGAATGACTTTCATGACAGGGCAACATAGCTTTTTGCAAGAAGAGTGGTTGCTAACTCTTTGCTTTCAACTGAACCCGAAGAGAAGACCTGATAAGTTGTCAGCCGATAGATCATTAAAAATACGTTTTGGTAAGCAATCATCATGTACTTTTAGCATATGCCATAGCAGGAGCACAAATGATTAAGCAATGCTACTATAATACAATTCCTTCCGTTTCTTTCTACTCACCTATTTGAATAAGATTTTTCATCATTTACATCTATACAGACAAAAATTAGGGATAGAATTGATGCTGAAGCCTTTCCAATTGTAGAATTAATTTATATTCTTCTGAAGGTGTATAAATTGTTAAATACCCATCCATCTTATTAAGAGATGTATTTTCAATAAAATTTTATTTTTATGTTTATCAAATTTTATAATATACATATATTGTTTTGGTCAATTGCACGTTAATAATTGTAACAATACCTCAATTGAAAAGGTTTGTTTTTTACATTTAGGACTTACAGTAACAGAAAAAAAACACTCATTGTGTATACATACTGTTTAAGAAAAGTATACTAGGTGATCAATAAGATTTTTTCAGGCATAAACATATATCTTAGTTTTAAGATATCGATATTTACAATGTCCCTCAAATTATATTATTTTCAGTCATTTAAGAATGAAAAGTACATTTCGAATGCGGATTTTAAATCTGCAAGGGTTGACTCATTTTTCAAGAGTCTTTTTAGGGGATACAGAAGCAAGAATGTTTGGAGTTCCCTGATCAGTATCTTTAAGAGAAGGTATTTGTTGGTAGTTCCTAGCAAATTCCAACAGCCTGATGCTACTTAAAAGATAATAGTAATTATTTTAAATAATGCTTCTGATAAAAAACATTCATGCACACTCAGTTTAAAAAGATATTTAAACATTTGTAGTTGTAGTTTGGGAACTCATGATACAAGTACAGTCTGTAAATGAAGCTCTTAGTTTGCAAATATCAGAGATAAGCTATTAAAATGCAGAAATTGAAATTGCCCTGATATATGCATAAATTAGTGTCATCTCCATCTTGTCAGTTAGAGTATTTTTTAGATTCTCTCTATGTATACATACATATATATATATATATATTTATATATATATATATATTTGTGTAGCTGTGCATGTGTGTATTTGGACTAATGGGTCAAAGGACAGTACTAACCCAATTCAATAATTAAAGAAAACATAATTTTGAGAATTAGCTTTATGGTAATTGTTTGACTTAAATGAGTAGATCAGAGAAGAATAAGGGCTTTCCCTTATTTAAACAAGCTTCATTTTTTTATCCAAACATTTACTTAGCTGATTAAGCTTCACTTGTTTATTTTCTTCAAAGCATTCATTCAGGTGGGTACTGAGTAAACTGAAATATCACACCAGGGAACTTCAACACCATCCAAGTCTTAAAGGCTTCACTTGTTCACAGTTGGCATTTAGTGAATGTCTAGGCTACTGATAATATTGTGAGTAAGTTGGCAGGGATCATAAGAAATGATAAAATACAGTTCTTGAAAATGTTATGGTTTGAGGAAAAGATCTATGTTTGGAATTAGACTGACTTGGATTCAAACTCTGGCTGTACCTTTGGGACAAGGTGTTCAGAAACTCTAGCCTATGTTTTTTTTCTGCAAAATGATCCTCTTTTCCAGGATTCCTGTAGAGATTCAAAGATATGTGAATGTTTAGAAAAAGAATAGACTTTTGATCATTGTTAATTCCCTTACTTTCCCCAATTAGACTTGTAAGACTGGGAAGAAAGCTACACAAAAGATTGAACAAATTATAGCTGACAGACCATAGCAAAAGATACAGGGCAAAACTTAAAGGGGAAAACTACACATTAAATTATTTTAAACCATTAAATAGCACTAACTTTTGTCAGATATTACAACCAAACACCACTCAAATTAAAGTAAACTGAATAAAATGCCTGTTTTTTTCTGTTTACTGATGTTTTCATTTGCTTCATTCATTTATTGGAAGATATAAAATGTGTTAGACACTGTTAGGTGCTGAGTGTATAAAAAAATCTTATTAATACAATTTAAACACGCACACACATATATATGGTTATAACAATTGATGCCATGTATGTACTGTTTATATGCCTATACATTATTCCACAGACCTGGGGGGAGGGGGATGTAGAGTCTTACCAGAACCATAGGAATCTTCTCACATCAACATTTCCTTTTGAAGTTTGTTCATGAGGCACCATCCAGATAATACTACCATCTGCAATGTGGCTTGAGAAGATGTTAGATTTTTTTATTACACATAATAAGGCTGTAAAGTATTTCTGTATTTAGGTAGAGGTATGTAATACAATATGTATATAAAATTACATATCCAATAAAATCTGGTGTTAAATAAGGACTAGCTTCTATGATAATATAGTCTAAAGGCTTTTCATTTGGTGTTATAGAAATTATGTGAAATATGTTTCCTGGAGTAGAATTATTCGCATTTCAGCTCTCTGACAGTGGAAGAAAAGCTAGAGGGAGAGGTGAACAAGAGAGGGAGCATAATGGACAAAGCTTTGCTGGAAGCCAAACCACCACTTCATATGTCAAATCTGACAGGCCTCCCATTTTAGGTGTGCTGTCATTGAAGCTTTCAGCTGCACCTTGCCTGTGGCTAGGCTATTTTCAAAGATTAAAATGCGAAACTGGAAATTAAATGCAACTTAATTCCCAATTTAAATTTCCATTATTTTTGAAAAGTAAAAGATTAAAAGAAATGTATAATTGCAATTCTGGTGGAAGAGGTAATTATAGGAAAGGTGGGATGTATTTCAAGTGGGGGATATAGCTTACTGCAGCAGAGAGGAATCTAAGCTATCATTCTTTTGAAATTGGTCTGGAAATATGTTTTCACATGGAAAATATACTATATTTTTAGGAATTTCCTTGTCATATTACTGTATCCTTTTCTGTTAGAATATAAATTCTGAATTCCCTATTCCACTGTAGATCTGCCTCCGATTATATTAGCTCTTCTGAAGTTATCAAAAAATAATGAGATATACAATATTCCATATATGTCAAAGCAATTATTTTTAGGTTAAGTAATAAACCAATGACCTTTAACCCGGTAATATTCTGGGTTGTTCATAAAAAAACTATATTCAGGTAATAATGTCTTTCCACTTAAGCAACTGAAAAAATACACAATACTTAACATTTGGTTAATTAAATACCTACTCCAGACAAAAGGATTTTCTGTTTTCAAGTTATCTTAGCAAGCTGAGCAGGAAGCAATGATATATCCAATCAGAATATCCATGGAAGCTCTGCTACAGTTTCAAAAAGTTCTCATCAGGCAGCTTTTAAAATGCCTACTCTGAAAATGGTCCAGGTTAAAGAACAACAGCTTCCTCGTCAGATAGCAGTATTGCTTGGCCATGTTTCTTCCTAGCACAAAAAAGTACCTGCTCTTCTCTGAGTACCTACATTCTAAGGACTATGGCTTACATAAAACAGCATGGGTTGGGGCAATTTCCAGCACACTGCTCACTCTCGAAAACGTATGATGCAGGTGAGAGTAATGTTTTTGTTTGAATCTGCTTTCACTCGTGGAAGATGAAACTACTTGCAAAGATCTGTACTTTAGCTATTATGAGTAACAAAAGACTCCTAAAATATTGCACACATTGTGGGGATGGAGAACCATCATCCTGGGATTTGATGGATCCTATGGTTTGGCTTTGTGTCCCCACCCAAATCTCATTTTGAATTGTAATCCCCACAATCCCCACATGTCAAGGGAGAGAGACCAGGTGGAGGTAACTGAATCATGGGAGCAATTTCTCCCATGCTGTTCTCCTGATAGTGAGTGAGTTCTCACAAGATCTGATTGTTTTATAAGGGGCTCTTCCTGCTTCACTGGGCACTTCTTCCTGCCACCTGTGAAGAAGGTGGCTTGCTCCTTCTCACCTTATGCCACGATGGTAAGTTTCCTGAGGCCTCCCCAGCCATGCTGAACTGTGTGTCAATTAAACCTCTTTCTTTTATAAATTACCCAGTCTCAGGCAGTTCTTTATAGCAGTATGAAAATGGACTAATAGAGACGTGTCTCTCAGAAGTCACAGTGATGCTTGAACGGATCCAGAGCTCCTTCTTCAGGAAGGTCCCAACTCATTCTGAAGGGTCTCTCCAAGCCCACCTCTCTCTGTAAATGGGAAAGGTTTTACTTTGAGCACTAAAACCTGCCAGAATTCTCAATTTTCCTAACAGTGTGTTAATAAACACCTACTCATTTAGTATCCAAACCAGGTCTGTATTTCTCAATTAGAGCTCACCAGGCTTTCATCATAAAGTAGAGCTTCAAATTGTCTGCAATCCCACTCCTATCAAAAACCTAGAAGGAGGTAATATTTCAGAGTAATACTATAACCAGATGACCACATCTAAGAAACTGCTGACCCTACGATGTAACCTTCTGTCCATTTTTCCCTTTGGAAAGTCTAGGATCTTTTCTTATACCAGCAAGTTACAAGCCTGGACTACACTAACTTGCTTTCCGCAGAAGAAAACACCATGAGTTCTGTTTTCATATTAAGCACTTAGTCTCCATCAGACATCAATCGAGAAAAAATCATTAAAAATCACATTTTATATTTGATGTATATTTCTCAATAATCCTATGTATTAGTTCATTTTCCTACTGCTATGAAGAAATACCCAAGACTGGGTAATTTATAAGTAAAAAGAGGCTTAATGGACTCACAGTCTCACATGACTAGGGAGGCCTCACAATCATGGTGGAAGGTGAAGGGGTAGCAAAGGCATGGCTTACATGGTGGCAGGCAAGAGCGTGTGCAGGAAAATTGCCCTTTATAAAACCATCAGATCTCCTGAGACTTATTCACTGCCATAAGGACAGCACAAGTATTTAGCTCCCTCAGCACAGAACCATCCCCGTGATTCAATTACCTCCCACCAGGTCACTCCCATGACACATGGGGATTATGGGAGCTACAATTCAAGATGAGATTTGGATGGGGACACAGCCAAACCATATCATCCTATTTGGATGATCAATATTATCAAGGTATGCTCCCCTGAGGGGGCGTCCTTTTTACCATTTAACTCCAGGACAAAAGTTTATTTCTTTGTAAGGACAGTGTTTATTTCTTATGGTCCTATTTTCTCCTAAGATCCAGACACCAAAATGGCCATCTATCATTGACTTAACTCCTGAATTTTGCTTAGAGTAACAGATTTAGTGAATCTAAATATTTTCTGGCTGTGGAATGTTAATTTATACATGTTCAAGTTACCTTTGATTCATGTGACAGTTTGTGCCAAAACACACTCATTATCAGAACTCAGATCATTATGTTGGCTCTTGTTTTCGTTACTAAAGGAAGAAAAACAGTTTCTCAAAAAGAAAATTCTGATACCTAGGAAGACCATTATACCTCACTCTTTTCTTTATCTCATCACCACATCCAATATTATAAAAGAACTTACAAAGTAAAAAGAAAGGTGTTCTGTAGATGTAGCGCCTGGCTTGTATGGTAGCTTAAATGAACACAGCTAAAAATATTTTATGGCTAGTGTCCAAAACAGTCTGGCACCAGACAAAATAAGAATATTTAAAATTATATTTTAGAGTTACTTTAAGAGGAAGGGAGAGAGAGATGTAGGCAGGAGGAGGAGGAGCAGGAGGAGAGGGAGAGAGAGAGAGAGAGAGAGAGAGAGAGAGAGAGAGAGAGAATCTGGGGTTTCTATGGAAGGGCTAAGAATATGTAGAAAACAGTTTACAAAGAAATATGGTCCAAGAATCGTGTGTACACACACACACACACACACACACACACACACACCCCCTGGAATATTTTTCAGCCTTAAAAAGAAGAAGATCTGTCATTTGTCCCAACATGGATGGACCTGGAGGACCTTATGCTAAATGAAATAAGCCAGACCAAGAAAGAAAAATATTGTATGATCTCACTTATATATGGAATCTTTTTTTAAAAAAGGTCAAATATATACAGATAGTGAATTAAACAGTGGTTACCAGGGTCAGGGTAGTTGTGAGGAAATGGGGCAATGTAGGTCATAGGATACAAATGATTAAAATATATTAATATATTAAAAGATATAATATACATCATGAGGACTACAGTTAATAATAGTGTGTATTCAAGATTTTTGATAAATGAATAGATTATAGCTGTTCTTGCCACAGAGTGAAAAATGGGTAACTGTGAAATGATAGATATGATAATGTTCTCCACAATGGTAACTATTTTACACTATATATATAAATATCTATGCATCTTACACCATTATGTGGTATCCCTTAAATATATACAATAAAATTTATTTTACAAACACATATTAGGAATGCATATTCTGATTTTTAACAATAGTTAACCTCATTAATATATTTCACACTATCATTTCTAGTGTACATGAAAAGTAGTTTATTGACATTAGTTGTAAAAAAAAAAAAAATGGTCTTGAGACTTTTGGGTCAGAGAATGTTCTGGCCATAAGGTAGGTTTCTGCTTGCCTACTAGATATCTTAACTTCGATTTCCTGAACATCCCATCACTTCAGAATCTCTCAATCCTTTCTAACATCCGCAACATTGTTTTTCTTTCTGCATTTCTTATATTGACTGATGGATTTATAATTCACTTTCTCTGAAAAACCCTGCAGTTATCATATATCCCTATCCATTCTGGCTCTTTATTGCCCAAATCTCTACCAAAATCCTGTCAGCACAGCCTCTGAAATATTTCTCAAAGCATTTATAATCTGGCTCTCATCAACATTTTCAACACTCTGTTTTATCATTCCACTATTTTACATCATTTCATTTTCATTTTTACCACAATCACTCATCCAACAAATAAGTATTTAGCTCCCTCAGTAATTAGTATTATTATTATTAATTATAACTAGATGCTGAGCATACAGAAGTGAACATGACAGACATAATCCCAGCAGGGATGTCAGACTTTATGCAAGTAATCAACCATGATGAATCTCATGAGATTCTGAGAGAGAGAGAGAGAGATTGAGAGAGAGAGAGAAAGGGGAACCACTGGTGTCCGAGTTAGAAATTTGAATTAGTATCTGGGTCACCAAAAGCTTCTGTGAAGAAGTGATATAGACTTGGCCACACAAAACTACCGTGAAGGTGGTGGAAATTTTTCTATGCAGAGTACCACATTTAAAGAGCTAAGCCTGAGAGTGTCAGAGATAAAGGAACAGAAAGAATGTGACAGCAGATTATGTTTGGAAGAAAGATGTTCAAGAGACCAAGCTAAAGAGGAGATGGGGCTAGAACCTGGAGGGTCCTTCGGGTCCTGTTGGGAGTTTTTTCTCTGCCCAGAAGGGCTTTGTCACGTGGTTGTCAGGAAAGAGTCATGATTAGAGCTTTGATTCAGAGACTTCTTTCGCTGAAGTGTGGAGAATGGTTCAGAGAGAAGCAAATCTGAATGGACAAAAGAGGTTATTATTGTAATCTTGGCAAGAAGCGATGGTGGTCTTGACTAAAATAGTTCTAGTGAGAATGTGACAACAAACCTGAGAAAAATACAGGAGACGTAATTGACGGGGGTTAGTGTTAAGTTGAACGATTGCAGAGTTGAATTTGAGGAAAGTGTCATATATCATTCCCAGTTTCTGATGTCATACACCTCTGGAGATAACACTGCCATTTCTTTTGAAATGGGAAAATAATAAGTGATCAGTAAGTACGTATTGGATAAAATAATGAATGGTTAAATGCATAAGGGGAGAGGAAAAGAGTTGCAGAGAAAGAGAGTAAACGTATTTTGGATGTGTTAATTTTGAGATACCTTTGAAAAATCCAAGTGAGGGGTTGGGTAGTCAGAGAAATGAATGTGGATGTCAGGACGAAAGGTGACCGTGATGAACTGTATGTCTTCCTCTAAGCACGTTATACAGCTTCATGTCACAAGTGACTCACTTCATGTCACAAGTGACTCACAAGGTCACTTGTGACAAGCATTTGCCTGGTGCTTCATCCCTAACCTCCCTTTCTATACTCAGCTAAAATGTCACCTACAATACTTCTTCCTTGACTCCACCGTCCCCACTTTACTGATATGAATACATTTTAATAAAATGATATAATAATGCTTAGTTTGTAAACCTAATGTTCCTCAAGTGGTATAATTATCTGATTTGTATGTGATCATCAACCCAACCATATTAGGAGCACCTTGAAGGTAGAAGATTTAGGTTCATGCTTAACACCACATCTGGACCACTGTGGATTTAACTTTCTACAATGATTGTATTCATTAATATATTGGGTGCCCACTATATTCCAAGTAATATCCTGCACACTACGTACAAGGAAGCATAGGTCCCGTGTGCTCATGAAACTGTAATTTTAGTAAGCAGGGATAGGATACAAACTGAGAAAGGAAAACAATTTAGAAAGTGGGAAATATTATGCACAGAATTAATAAAAAAGAGAAAAATCTTGAAAAAGTCTTCAATACCTCACTTGGAAGGTGATTTTGAAGAAGAACTGATGGACAAACTAGAGTCAGCCATGTAATGATGTAGGGGCAAAGCATTCCGGGCACAAGGGACAGCTTATGCAAAGACCTTAAAAATGAACTAGCTTTGTATGTTGGAGAAGGATAAAGAGAACTAAGGTATCTATAAGGTAATTAGGAAGAGGATGAGTTATTTAGTCCCTTAGTCTTTGAAGCACATTATCTCATACTTCAATTGAGTTTATTCTTAGTGTCATTCTTCTGGATGCAATATTTGAGATAAATGTCTTAATGAACGTTCACCTCCCTCCGTAGTAATGCCTGAGTGTCACAAAAACTTTTTTTGTTTACATACGTAGCCATCTAATGGAAACATAAAATAGGAATCAAAAGTTGAGTTTCATGTACAAAAGGTAAGGACTGTACATGTGGTCATAACAACTTCAAAAGCACCTGAAGGTAACCTTTAAGGAAGATACAAAGGCTAGGAAATATCTAGGATCCATGAAGACAGACTTACTTAAGGTCATAGTGTGTCCAGAGTTGGTTCCCGCCGGTGGGTTCGTGGTCTCGCTGACTTCAAGAACGAAGCCACGGACCTCTGCGGTGACTGTTACAGCTCTTAAAGGTGGCACGAACCCAAACAGCGAGCAGCAGCAAGATTTATTGTGAAGAGCAAAAGAACAAAGCTTCCACAACGTGGAAGGGGACCCAAGCAGGTTGCCGCTGCTGGCTTGGGTGGCCAGCTTTTATTCCCTTACTGTCCCCTCCCATGTTCCATTTCTGTCCTATCAGAGTGCCCTTTTTTCAATCCTCCCCACGATTGGCTACTTTTAGAATCCTACTGATTGGTGCATTTTACAGAGCGCTGATTGGTGCGTTTTACAATCCTCTTGTAAGACGGGAAGGTTCCTGATTGGTGCGTTTTACAATCCTCTTGTAAGACAGAAAAGTTCCCCAAGTCCCCACTCGACCCAGAAAGTCCAGCTGGCCTCACCTCTCAATAGCATTAAGAATATAGTTTCACGAGCATATATGAATCAAAACTTACATTTGCCAATTTTATTTGCTTGTTTATGTGTTTCCAACATGTCTTGTCTTAGGGCCAAATGTTTCCCTAGAGAATAACTATTCCAACTATCTTAGTTGCTGTATTTTTATGCAACCTTCAACTCTCCATACTAAAATGTCTCCAGAATAGAAAATAAATCTTTTCAAAGTTTCAAAAGAGGCTCTCTATATATTCCCCTTAAAAGTACCAGGCAGACATATTTCTAGGTTTCTAACATTGCGTGTTGCCAGGAAGTATATCCAAACCATCACAAGTTATTCATGTAACCAAGCACACTTATTGGAGTGCTTCTGCTTCTGTTCTTGCTTGAAATTGGAAGCTCCTTCCAGGAAAAAAAAAAAATATCTATAGAAGGGGAAAAAAGTAATTTTACTTTGAAAATAAAATATACGTGAGCAATAGTTTTATTCTGTTTTTAATTTACCATAGCTTCCAAAGACAACATTGTTTTATAGTAGGGGTTAGCAAGTGTTTTCTGTAATGTAAACGTAAAGGGCCAGAGAGTAAATATTTTAGGCTTTGTTTTCTATACTCTGTTGCAACTATTCAACTCTGCTGTTAGAATGTTGAAGCAGTCATAGACAATAGAGAAATGAAGATGTGTCATTGTGATCCAATAAAACTTTATTTACAAAAATGGCAATGGGCTAGTTACGGCTTGAGGGCTGCAGTTTGCAGACTCTCACTTCAGAGCTAACAGTTGTTGTCAGGAGTCACTTGTTTTTGGAAACCTACAATGAGGTACTATAACACCAAAAAGAGTTATCCCTTCCTTTTTCTCTCTCACTTTTTGAATTATGAGAAGAATTAGAAATGTAGTTAATGATAATGTCCAACCAGTGTAATTATACTTGTTAGAAACACAGCTGGAAGCCTGTTGTCCAGTCTTATTTCTCCTCTGTGATCCTCATTTTCAGAGGTTGAAGTCATAAGTTTGCCATGTCTACTTTCTGACAGGGGAATTATAATAATGTGGAGTCACCTTTTGTTTGTGACTTTGACAATGCTTCATTGACTTACTCACCAATTTTCTAATTTTTATGAAGACTTTTTGCCGAAATGTAGACTCAGTCTTCTCTCTTGTCTACTCTTTCTATAACAATTAACAATGAACTTATTTACCTTTTTAACATCTTTTTAAAAATTTTCTATACACCTTGAAAATGTGAATACAAAGTAATGCTGCATCATGTATATTGCCTTATTCACACATAGCCTCTTATGGTATATCATATAAAAATGGAACAATACAGCAACAGGTTGAATGAACAGTAATCAGGTAACAGGAAAATGAGATGTCTTTAATATTTCACTTAAAAACTCAATTTCCTAAAGCATACATATAAATATTTGGAAGTATAGTTAGAAGAAAAATATCTTTAAAATATTTTAATTGATTAGTCTTATTTATAAGATAATTTTTAGGAGGCTGGTTGCGGTGGCTCACACCTGTAATCCCAGCACTTTGGGAGGCCGAGGTGGGCAGATCATGAGGTCAGGAAATCGAGACCATCCTGGCTAACACGGTGAAACTCCGTCTCTACTAAAAATACAAAAATTAGCCGTGCATGGCAGCGCATGCCTGTAATCCCAGCTACTCGGGAGGCTGAGGCAGGAGAATCACTTGAACCTGGGAGGCGGAGGTTGCAGTGAGCCGAGATCGCGCCACTGCACTCCAGCCTGGTGACAGAGCTAGACTCCGTCTCAATAATAATCATAATCATAATAATAATTTTTAGGAAGCATCAGAAATATATAAGAAAAAGATTATTTTCTTAATTGCTTTACTAAAAACACCTCTATGATTTTTCAGTAAAACTTGATTCTTATGTCATGTGTGAGTGTGATCTGCCTCTCTTGGGATACTACTGTACTCATGAGGAGTGATTTTTTTCTCCAACGACCTCTTTGTCACGTCAACAGGTCACAGGAATAGTGTACCCTAAAAAGCCACCTGCCACATGCTGCTGAAAATGTAAAAGTACACACATACACACACACACACACACACACACACACACACACACACACCAAAATCAGGTATCACAAGCTGAAAATAAAATTGAGTCCAATTTTTTTTTAATTGAGCAGTTAATGTCCTTAAAACAAAATCCTATACTGCAACAAATACTTAGCCAGATCATTCTGATACCTCCAAACTGTGGTGTATTCCAAGATACCTCTATGATCTTTGATTTGATCCACAGCTTTTCAGTTATCATGCAAATACCTTCAAGTTTTATCTCATTTCTCAGTGCAAACTCATTAAAAATTTTCAGCTGAATTCAATTTTATAAACATGTTGTGAATGTCCTCTTTATATAAGCAAGGTTGTAAGGAACTGGCCACATAAACAGAAAATTGAATAACATATGGTTTCTGGCCTTAGTGATCTCATGTGTGAGTTAGGCATATGGGCAAAATCAGAACACTATAGAGTATAAGTCTAAAATGGTAGTATTTTATAATAGAGGATGAAGAGGGTGCTGTGGGATCATAGGTGACAGATATAACTCCCGTTGTGGGACTTGAGAAAGGCTTCACAGTCTGGAAACATTTAGTTGCTATTGAACACAAAATAAGACTCACTGTTGAGAGAAGGGAGAGGGAGGGCATTTCAATCAAATTAAGATTCTGTGGCATATTCGGAAACTGATGTTTTTAAAAAGAGTAATGTTTATTACATTCCTCTACATAAATTATATTTCTATGTAATATGAATGACAAATATTTAACACAAAATGCCTTATAACATTTGAATGAAATCCATCATATGACCTGTTATCTATTTCCATTTCCTTTTTGCTCATATCATTATGAACAATGACCTGATAAATTTTTTATAAGACTTTGCTGAATTAGTAAAGGATTATTAAGTTTAGAATGAACAAAGCTGACCAATCATTCAGGCAAATTTGACCGTTTTGTTGTCGCTTTTCTTATTTCTGAAACCATACAATTCCCTGAAATGAATAAGTACATATTTGATAACTTCCTAAATTAAGGCTCAAAACACTGGTAATCTACTGGGCTTTCATTTGTTCCTTCTATTTGTCTAATCCTATCTATATTTCTTTATATGAGCTATGAAAATATTAGATTTATTAAGTTGTCCTTTATCTTAATAGAGAAGAATGTTTTTCTATGACATTAAGAGGAATTTGATTTTTTTCTTTAATGATCTACTTTTAATTTTGGTAGAGTAGCATTGATAAGATCAATATTACACATTGTTAAGTATGCATTACATGTTGATAAGATAAATATTACACTTAAAATATGTTTATCAAATGTATGAATGATAAAAACGAATTCTGAAATGTATGGGAAAGATCTTGAATAAAGGTCTATGTACATTTCAAGGATGTCTACATATGCAAATTATCATAATATAATAACTATTGAATATGATTATCTTCACATACTTTCTTTATTTTTCATCTCTTAGATGAAATTGGGTATTGTTTTCTTATAGCTGGAACAAAGCATTACAGAGAATTCTTAGTGTGATTTCATTGAAACTCACTGTTATATGAGTTCAACAAAGTTTAAATTAGTCCATGACTTAATCATCCTTTATAAATCCTATCACTAGTATTCGGTAAGGACAAAGTCAATTAAAAAATTAGCAACAGAAGCATTAAAAGAAGGATTAATAAATACAAAATAAGGGATGTGATATCTTTACGTATTGCTGAGATGTTAGTGCTAAGGAAAAACTTCCCTGTTCATAATGTGAGGTGGGAAAAAGAAGAACTATTATTGTATATTTCTCCTCTCTAAAACTGCCTATCTGACTGTGTTTTTCTGTGTCAGCCGTATTAACAGATGTTTAATTTTACTCACTTTAGTATATAAGGCATCATAATGTATGAACTATTTCAAAGGCCCTATGATGGCTAATTAAATAAAAATATATTAAATATTAGCTGGACAAAATAAAATATGTATTAATTTTGGAAAAAGTAGATCAAGGTTTTGCAGATCTTTTCATATCAATATATTCATTTGCTGAATAAGCTTTTATTGTTTACCAATATTACTAGTTTTATAGAGATGTAGATATCACCACAGTATGACTAATTTTATAGGGACACAGATAGATAGATGTTATTTTATTCCAATCTTATTTTTACATATAACAGGTATAAATATGCGCTTGAAAGGAGTATATCACTTAGGAGTCAGTCAGAAAAGTAAAGATCTTCTAGTCTAATACAGTGGTTCTCAGCCAGGGGTGATTCTGCTGCACGCTGAGGGATAAATTGGCAATTTCTGGAGACATTTTTGGTTGTGACAATTGCAGGAGTGTTACTGGTATTCATTTGGTAGAGACAGAGATATTGGTAGACACTGTACAGGACACAGGAAAGTCTCTTACAACAAAGAATTATTCTGTCCAAAATGTCAGTTGTGGTGAGGTTGGGAAACACTGGTCTGGAAGAAGGAATTTACTATGAGGAACTAGTTACGAAAGTATAGAGACATTTAACAAGCTGAACAAAGGATAGTGAGATGGCTCAGAGATTAGCAACTGTGGCATGAAGCCACTACTACGTTTAGGTAAAAATAAGCTACCATTTATTCTTATAGTAATAATAATAATAATTATTATTATTATTATTTGAGATGGAGTTTCGCTCTGTTGCCCGGGTTGGAGTACAATGGTACAATCTCGACTCACTTCAACCTCTGCCTCCCAGATTCAAGCGATTCTCCTGCCTCAGCCTCCTGAATAGCTGGGATTACAGGTGTGCACCACCCCTCCCAGTTAATTTTTTGTATTTTTGGTAGAAACGGGGTTTCACCATGTTGGTCAGGCTGGTCTCGAACTCCTGACCTCAGATGATCCATCCACCTCAGCCTCCCAAAGTGCTGGGATTACAGGCATGAGCCACCACACCTGGCCCACTCTTTCTTTTTTAATTATTGAGAAATATAAAAATATGTCAAAAGTAACAGGTGTGGTGGAGTTACAGCATGCACATAATGGGATACAGCCCATTATCTAATCTCAGATGGAAACTAGAAAAAAAAGAGAAGATCTTTGCTAAAGCACAGATTATGTGGAAAATCATTTAGAAAAATAGCTTATCACAACATTAAAATTAAATCCTTTAGCTGATCATTTTTCCTTGCTATTTTTTCTTTTAAAATTGAGAAGACAGTGAGTTTTTTTTCTTTATTGTCATTATCTTGATGTCAAAAAATAATATGCACATTATAAGTGGGAAAAAAGATAAGTCGAAATGAAATGAAACAATGCGAGGAAAAAAATGTCACAACACTCTTCAATTAGAAAAAATGACCCCCATCTTTCCTCCAAATAGAAATGACGTAACTGAAGTAGTGGAACTTTCTCTTCCATGGCAACTCTAGAGAAGGGGTAGATGGCATGGGATTGTGGACAGATGGACACAGAAAGAGGCCTCATTTATTGTTATTGTTAAAACTTTTACTTCTAGTAATAGTGACACCTCCTTCAGCATTTCTTTATCAATTGTCAATATTTTTTGGATCACCAGCATCACCTTCTATATGTATGTCTAGAAACCTCCTGTTATGAATTTACACTTCTCAGAGTCAAGACAGAAATGCTGTGAATTGGGCGATAAATAAAATACCCCCCTTTTATTGCCTTGCTTTGTCTCTTAAAGAAAGATGCCTGTTGGGGGACTATGAGAATGCTTTGTGCTTCTGGACCTCAAGGGACAAATCTATAATAAAAATTATGCATAGTGATGAGAAATATATATAATGCAAGTTTGTAGAGATCAGTTAACTTATCTTGTCTAGGCAATTATTTCTAAACAATGATTTCAAATCATTAACTATAATATAGCCCATTCATACCCTCCATTTTTGTCAAATCCCTGTCACCTTCAAGGACTTGGCCATCCCATAGGCTGCTCTGCTTTTAATAGAGGAAGATGCTGTAACTCTTGGTACCATTGCCAGTTATGAATTTATCCATTAATGAACATTGCATTTAAGGCATAGGTTTATCTCCTTCTCCAGGTATGAACCTGCAGGATTCCTACCTGAAGCTTAAGGGAGAATAAATCCACCTGGGACAATCAAGGACAGATCAACCAATCAGCTCAAAGCAGGTGTGAATTACACAGTTTATTTGAGTGACAAGGTAGCTAAAGCAGGGATAATAAAAGAAGGGAGTGGGTTGATGTGGACAGACGAACTATGGCTTTAGGAAATTTGGTAGGGACTGAAACATATTTTGTGTAATTTATGTGGGTCTAATAGCTTTTGAAACTTGTTTACAAGACCTGTGTAAGTGGTACTGGCATATTCATGCATGAGAAAACATCAAGGGAAAACTTAATAGTTCAAGGAGGTGACAAAGAAGAGAGGAACCAATTATTTTCACTAGCCGTCAAAAGCAAGAAAATAATCAGCTTGAGCCCTTCGGGGAAAAGATAGGTTAAATATTAAGTAACAGTTTGTTATTATTCCAAGTGTTTTCTTAAAGTTGCTCCCATACTTTCCTGTTTTCTCTGAGGGAATTTAGTTTTTTTGTTGGTTTTTTTTTTTTTTTTTTTATAACTGTCATTGGTCAGAGCTTGATTTGATGCCAGTCAAATTTTTTTAAAGAGATTATGAAAACTGCTTAAACTCTTCCAAAGGGAAGATGGGTCATTCTTAACATGTGTTTCAAGAGGAAGAGCATAAGAGCATTATATGGTAAGGCTGAAAGCAGATATCAGCGTTTAGGGGCCATGAAGAGGTAGAGCTCACATTGGTAGGATCATTGACTAGAATTCCAGAGATCAAAATTGTATGTTAGTCTAGCATTGGGGAGGACTTGTAGCTAGTATCTTCATTCTAGCTTGGGAGCCTAGGAATCAGGTTAGGCATCTTGCACAGGAATGGGCCGATGGGCTAAAATCTCCTTGAGAGAGATGATTAATCCAGGACAAACCAAGCAGTCATGCCAATGAATTACTTTAACAGGGTACTTCATATCCTCATCCTTTGGGCAGCACGGTCTTCAGAGATGGGGCAGGCCCCAGGCTGCAGTTGAGATTCTATAAACTAAGGTCAAAAAGATGCAGCAGTGAAGAAGTCATGCTTATCTTGTATAAATCATGTTTTCTTTTCTTTTTAATGAAAATGTACATTTAACACATTTTAAAACTAAATATTGACCCTAAAATTCCAACCAAAAAATGCTACATAAGTGGTATTTATTTTTGAATTTCCCTCATGCTCCTCCCACTGTGGGGACAAGGAGTGGTGGTGGAAGAGAGATCTTTTAGCAAACCTGTGAGTAGAGAATTAGAAGGTAATGGGAGGAAGGTAAAAGGAAAACATCATAGATGGATAGGCTCACAAACATTAAAGGCCTTCGTGCCTGTCCTTCATGCCTATTCATCCCTCTCCAGTATGTGAATCAATGTACTTGTTAAATATTCATTCACCTCACATATTTAGCATTAACCGTGTATCAGGGACGTTGTTAGACCGTTGGTTTACGATGATGTGTAAAATATCATTTGTAACTCAGACTAACTGGAAGTGCTCAATATAATAAGATGTAATGTTATGGAACACTAAGTCTGTGCTGAAGACTTATCTCCTTTAATCCTAAAACAATCCTGGTGGGTAGTCTCAATGATCATCTCCAAGTCACAGTTGAGGAAATTAAGGCTTCAAGAAGTTAAGAAACTGGACCAACATCACAAAGGTAGCATCAGAGTGACAGTTTGATTTCAAAGTGTACTTGACTTCAAGGCCCACATTTCCTTGCACGTTTAATATTGCCTTTCTCAGGTAAATATACCATTAAATGTGATACAACTCTAAGCATTTGAATTACTTACAACGTGCAGAGTTAAAACCAGCATTATTTACACTATACTTCAGCTCGTTTATAAGTGAACTATTATTTTGTGGACTAACCTATGAAATGTAACCACATTGAATTCCTCTGTTAGGTACAGGTTTGGTGATTCCAGGGAATAGAGTATGACTGAATGCACAGGTAGGGGTGAAGTGAACCCGGTCAGAAAATTTAGAGAGCATCGAGCAGATCATTAAGCAGCTGTCTTTCAAATGTGCAGAACACAACTCATTTGTAATCTAGGGACTATCTGTATTGATTCTTCCCAGGGAAGTTACTTATTTTTATACATATGTGGTGTGTTCTGTCCATAATACCATTCTACATGGTAATGCTCAACTTTATTATTTAAAAAAACTGCTAATAATGAGGTTTTTCTTTGTATCACAGAAGCAGCAGGAGCAAGTTTTCTTTTTCCTTCCCAGTTTTTTTAAGTACTGCCAAGGAATGTGATTTTGTCAGACTTGTATTTCCTATTAAGCCAATCTGCATGACTGTTCCTTCTACTAGCTTTACCTGTTCACTCATTTATTAATTCATCAAATATTTGTAGAGTGACTATTGTGTGCCACATACTAATATAGGCACAAGGATAACCAAAAACAGACAAACGCTGTCCTTTCAAGGAGCTCATATAGTAATGGGAAGTTAGGAAAGGAGAAAATAAATATGTGGTATTTCAAATGGAAGTATTAAAGTGTTAAGAAGAAAAGAGAAACTAACAAGATAGGGAAAAAGTGACAGGAACATGATGTTTTATTTTTTATTTATATATATTTTTTGAGACAGGGTCTCATTCTGTTGCCTAAGCTGGTGTGCAGTGACGTGATCATGGCTCACTGCAGCCTTGACCTCCCTGGGCTCAGATGATCCTCCCACATCAGCCTCCCAAGTAGCCAGGTCTACAGGCATGTACCACGATACCCAGCTAACACGTTTTCTTTTCTTATAGAGACAGAGTCTCACTGTGTTGCCCAGGCTGTTCTTGAACTCCGGGGCTCAAGCAGTCCACCCACATCTACCTCCTAAGGTGCTGGAATTACAGGCATGAACCACCATGCCCAGCCGAAATTGATGTTTTATATATGGCAGTCTGGGCAGACCTCTTTGATGTGATATTTGAACAGAAATCTCAAGAGAGGGAGTGTATTAGCCCGTTTTCATACCGCTAGAAAGAACTGCCCGAGATTGGGTAATTTATAAAGGAAAGAGGTTTAATTGACTCACAGTTCAATATGGCTGGGGAGGCCTCAGGAAACTTAAAATCATGGCAGAAAATGAAGGGGAAGCGAGGCACCTTCTTCACAAGGTGGCAGGAAGGAGAAGTACTGAGGAAAGGGGGAAGAGACCCTTATAAAACCATCAGATTTTGGGAGAATTCACTCACTATCATGAGAACAGCATGGGGGAAGCCAACCCCATGATTCAATTACCTCCACATAGCCTCTCCTTTGACACCTGGGGATTATGGGGATTATAAGGATTACAATTCAAGATGAGATTTGGGTGGGGACACAAAGCCCAAACATATCATTTTGCTCCTGGCCCCTCCCAAATCTCATGTCCCTTTCACATTTCAAAACCAATCATGCCTTGACAACAGTACTCCAAAGTATTAATTCATTTCAGCATTAACCCAAAAGTCCAAGTCCAAAGTCTCATCTGAGACAAGGCAAGTCTGTTCTGCCTGTGAGCCTGTAAAATCAAAAGCAAGTTAGTTACTTCCTAGATAAAATGGAAGCACAGGCACTGGGTAAATATACCCATTACAAATGGGAGAAATTAGCCAAAATGAAGGGGCTACAGGCCCCAAGCCAGTCCAAAATCTATCAGGGCAGTCAAATCTTACAGCTCTGAAGTTGTCTCCTTTGACTCCATTTCTCACATCCAGGTAACACTGATGCAAGAGGTGGGTTCCCATGGTCTTGGTAAGCTCCACCCCTGTGGGTTTGCAGGGTAGAGCCCCTCTCCTGGCTGCTTTTACAGGCTGGCATTGAGTGTCTGCAGCTTTTCCAGGCACGTGGTGCAAGCTGTTGATCGCTCTACCATTGTGGGGTCTGGTGGACAGTGGCCCTCTTCTCATAGCTCCGCTAGGCAGTGCCCCAGTGGGGACTCTGTGTTGGGGCTCCAACCCCACATTTCCCTTCCACACTGTCCTAGCCGAGGTTCTCCATGAGGTCTTCATTCCTGCAGCAGACTTCTGCCTGGACATCCAGGAGTTTCCATACATCCTCTGAAATCTAGGCAGAGGTTCCCAAACTTCAATTCTTGAATTCTGTGTATCCACAGACTCAACACCACGTGGCAGTTGCCAAAGCTTGGGACTTGCTCCCTCTGAAGCAATGGTCCGAACTGTACCTTGGCCCCTTTTATCCATGGCTGGAGTGGCTGGGACACAAGGCACCAAGTCCTGATGCCGCACACAGTGGTGGGGTTGGGGGGGGGACCTGGTCCACGAAACCATTTTTGCCTCCTAGACCTCTGGGTCTGTGATGGGAGGAGCCGCAATGAAGGTCTCTGACTTGCCCTGGAGACATTTTCCCCATTGTCTTGCCTATTAACATTGGGCTCCTTGTTAAATATGCAAATTTCTACAGCCAGCCTCTCCAGAAAATGGGTTTTTCTTTTCTACTGCATTGTCAGGTTGCAAATTTTTCAAACTTTTATGCTCTGTGACCTCTTGAATGCTTTGCTGCTTAGAAATTTCTTCTGTCAGATACCTTAAATCATCTCTCAAGTTCAAAGTTCCACAGATCTCTAGGTCAGGGTCAAAATGATGCCAGTCTCTTTGTTAGTCATAGCAAGAATGACCTTTACTCCAGTTACCAATAAGTTCTTCATCTCCATCTGAGACCACCTCTGCCTGGACTTCAGTGTTCGTATCACTATCAGCATTTTGGTCAAAACCATTCAACAAGTCTCTAGGAAGTTCCAAACTTTTCCACATTTTCCTGTCTTCTTCTGAGCCTCCTAACTGTTCCAACCCCTGCCTATTACCCAGTTCTAAAGTTGCTTCCACATTTTCAAGTATCTTTATAGCAGTACCTCACTACCTCAGTACCACTGGTCTTAACTCCTGCGCTCAAGCGATCTGCTTGCCTCCACCCCTAAAGTGCTGAAATTACAGACATGGTCCATTGTGCCGAGCCAAAATTGATATTTTATGTATGACACTCTGGGCAGACCTCTATGAGGTGACATTTGAACAGAAATCTCAAGGAAGGGGAGAAATTATCCATTTACATATTTGGGGAAAGAGCATTCCAGGTAGAAGAAACAGAAAATCCGTAGTCTTGAGGAATGCCGTGTATATGCAGTATTTTTCAAACTTGTTATTTTGAAATACATATACACTTACAGGAAGTTGCAAAAGTATTAAGAAAGATCATGAGTACCCTTCACTCATCTTCAGCTAATGGTTACATCTTACATAATTATATGTAATATCAAAGCCAGGAAACCAGGAAATTGATGTTGATACAATCTATGCTTTATTCAGATCTCACATCTTACATAGCTATGCACAATATAAAAACCAGGAAATTGATATTAACACAATCTATGCCTTATTCAGATCTCACCAGCTTTTACATGCACTTATCTGTGTCTGTCATTCTATGCAATTTTATACCATGTTTAGAGTCATATAACAACTACCCCTATTTTGATACATGGTACTGAATAGTTCCAGCGTCACAAAGGAACTATCTCAAGCCACCCTTTAATTGTCACACCCATCCAATCTCCCATTCTACTTCCTGAATCACTAGCAACCCCTAATCTGTTCTCCATCTCTATGATTTTGTCTTTTCAAGGGAGTTTTCTAAGTAAACTCATTTGGGGAAAGAAAGGAGATGAATTGTTCTAGCCACGGAGTGGAGAACAGAGAGTAAGAGTACCTATTGAAGCAGAGGGAGTCATTGCAATAATTCAAATGAGAAATAATGGTGATTCTAAACCAGGAAGCTTTCAGTGAAAACAATGAGAGGTACATGGATTCTGGGTATTTTTGGAAGGTAGCACTACCAGGTTTGCTGATGAATGGGGTATGGGGTGGGAAAGAAAGAGAAGAGCCCAGGATGAGTCCAAGGTGGATAAGGTGAATAGAATTGAGAAAATGGTAGAAGGATCAAGTTAGATGGTAGAGGGGTAAAGGTGGAAGCAATAATTTTGTTTTGGAATTGTTAGGTTTGAAATCTTGTTAGACATCCCAGTAAAGTCACAAAGAGTGCAGTTGGATGAAAGTATGGGATTCAGGGAAGAAGTATGTGCTAGAGATGCAGATTTGAGAGTCATCTGTGTGGAGGTATTATTCAAATTCAAGTCCCCTTGGAATGAATGGCTATTCAGGCAGGGTCTTCATAAAAATGCTTGTTGCATGCCTGTAATCCCAGCACTTTGGGAGTCTGAGGTGGGTGGAACACTTGAGGTCAGGAGTTTGAGACCAGCCTGATCAACTTGGTGAACCCCCATCTCTACTAAAAATACAAAAAAAAAAAAAGTTAGCTGGGCGTTGTGGCACATGCCTGTAATCCCAGGTACTTGGGAGGCTGAGGCAGGAGAATTGAGCCAAGATTGTGCCATTGCATTCCAGCCTGGGCAACAAGAGCAAAACTCCGCCTCAAAAAAAAAAAAAAAAAAAAAAAAAAGCTTGTTGCTTCAAATTCATGTCAGTCTGTAAAATTATCTGGGAAGGCAGTACAAAAACTGTCACTTTGACTACGATGTTTCTGGTGACCCATCTTCATTGATCAGTATGGAAAAGGCATGTCTCTGAAAATCTCTGAGAGTCTTTGATACAGCAAGAACATAAGGATAAATCATTCTTCTATGTTCATGGTTGTAGAGGATCTTGAATGTTTAATGGCAGAATAGCCAGATCACACTCTGGCACTTCTGTATGAGAGGCTGAGGGATGTTACTGATTCACCCCGAGAAATATTTACTACTAAGGGGACAGAGGCAAAGGGGATACAAGACTTCACCCTGAGCTGTAGCGCTCCCTCCTTCCCTATCCTGCTTTCATTCTTCACATTGTTTTCCTTCTTTCTTTTTTATTATTATACTTTAAGTTCTGGGATACACGTGCAGAATGTACAGGTTTGTTACATAGGTATACATTTGCCACGGTGGTTTGCTGCACCCATCAACCCGTCATCTAGGTTTTAAGCCCCACATGCATTAGGTATTTGTCCTAATGCTCTCCCTCACCTTTTCCCTGTGTCCACATTGTTTTCTTTCTTTTTGAAGCCTCTCATTCACTAGGTTTCAATCCTGCCTTGCTAGTGTTCTAACTCTAAGGCCTAGGCAAGTTATTTCACCGAACTTAGCCTCAGTGTCCTCATCTGCAAAATGGATAGTTTTATGATATCTTCAGCCCTTAAAGTCAATGGTTCTGACAGCTAGGGTGTACTATCTTCTTGGATATCAGTCATCTCAAGCAAGCCCTCCTTTTTTGGACCTTCTTTTCACACACTTCACATACCTTAGAGAACATAATACACATCCTCTTTACTCAGGGCTTATTCTTTATAACAGGCTTCCTAATTCAATTAACTCAACTTTTCAAAAATATTAGTGACTACTGTGATGTAAATAAATTTGCATTTTATAGGGGTCTTAGTAACCCAGAAGGGAGTGGGGAAAATTAATATATATTGAGAGTTTATTAAGTGCTAGGTACTGTAAATATTTTCTTGTATTTAATCCTCCGAGTAATTCTACAACAAAGATATTATCATTGCTATTATGTAAATAAAAGAACAAAGTAGAAAGAAACCCACGGTCTTGTATAAGCTCCCCTAGTTGGTGGGTATTGAAGGGAGTATTTCAATCTTTGGTAGCTTCTGAGTTTTTGTTCTCTCAGGGAATCTGCCAGATGTCCAGGGCACCTGCCAAACCCTATGAGGCTATAAGAAAACCATTAAGGGTCTTAGATTACCCAGCTTTTTGGGAGTTAGAATTCTGAATGAAATTTAGTGTTCCTGCAGCTACAAAGGAATTGAGTTAGGGAAGTGATGACTTTATCTTTAGCTACATTGGTTATTTTCCTTATAATAATCCTGGCTTGGTAGATTAGAGGCAGCCCGAGTAACCCAGAATCGCTAAAATAGAAGTGCGAGCTCATTGCCCGCTGTCCTTCACTATGTTTGCATATAGGAAGCAAGAATAAAACAAGCATAAAATAGGCTAACTAGCTTGTCAGAGCTCTTCACACCAAGTCTTTGTGAGTTCCAATAAGACACTGACTATTATTAAAAAGACAGAGACTCCACATAAGTAGGAATTTATTGTTTTCCTTTTCAGTCACCAAAGGACAATCCTCTGCATAGGTTAGCAAAAAATGGTACTGATCCTATAATCTCTAATATTAAAGTTTAGATTTGGCAAGCTGTACATCTTATGTTGTTCATTAACAAAAAACAATATTGATTGGTATCTTGTACTATAACTTGTACTGTGGGTCAAATTCCAATACAGCAAATACCATTGCAATAACAATTCTACAAAACTACATCAAAAAAACCTTTCATGTTTGAGCCAACAGCCTGATAGTGCTAAGGACTTTGAGTACAGTATGCTAGAAGATTCTTAACAGTTATTTGTCCTGGACAACAAAGGTTGACTCCATTAAAAACATAGCCATCAGTGTGGGATTATTTCCAAATCAAGCTTTTGGAAAAGTCAAATGAAAGTTTGCAAGCAGGTGGGGCATGGTGGTTCATGCCTGTAATCTCAGCACTTTGGGATGCTGAGGCAGGCGGATCACCTGAGGTCAGGAGTTCGAGACCAGCCTGGCCAACGTGGTAAAACCCCCATCTCTACTAAAAATACAAAAATTAGCTGGCTTTTGTGGTGCATGCTTGTAATCCCAGCTACTCAGGAGCCTGAGGCACGAGAATCACTTGAACTCGGGAGGCAGAGGTTGCAGTGAGCCGGGATCATGCCACTGCACTCCAGCCCACATGACAGAGTGAGACCCTGTCTTCAAAAAAGCAAAAAACAAACACGCAAACAAAAAAAAAAAAAACCAAAGTTGGAATGCAATAAATGTTCATTGAATGAATACTGAATAGGGAGTTTCAGCTAATCCACTCAAAATAGTGCTGAATTTCCAGCTCTAAGGTCAATGCTTGGCATATATATCCTGAAGGAATGAATGGACACAGAGTAATTTTTTTTCTAAAATGCAAATTCAATTATGTCACTTCCCTTCTTAAAATCCTTCAGTAGCTTCCCGTAGCCTCCAGCATATTATTTTGAATAGTGCTTCTCAAACTTTGATGTGCATCAGAATCACCTGGGGATTTTCTTAATTAACTGATGCTGATTCAGTAGGTCTGGGGTATTGTCTGAGATTCTGCATTTCTAGCAAGTGCTCAGGGTTATAGCAATGATTTTGGCCTGCAGACCATACTTTGGGTAGCAAAGACATAAGCCACTTAACTTGACATAAAAGACTGTTTAGACCCTTAGTTTCTCTCTCGCTCTTTCCCCATTTTGAGCTTTTGCTCCGGTTCATGTTTTTCCCTGAAAATACCGTGATCTTACATTGTCTGTCTGGATGCTGAATTTTCCCTAATTCTGGGCCTCCATGTAGTTTTAGGTTTGACATCACAACCACCAAAAGATTTCCCCTTCTCCCTTAATCTTGGTTAATGTCACTCTCATGTATTATACTGTTAATGAAGCATTGAGGACATAAAACTTATCAAATATTTTATCACAATCAATGATGGCACCAGTGATAACATCCAAATGCCTGGGTGAGTAAATAAGAGGAGAATAGGGGACTTGTTGTTAAACTAAGTTTGCAGAGAAAAAATGTACTGATTATAATTAAATTGGATGTTTATTTGTTATGACAAAAAAGGAGCTAGAGTCTTTTAATCCACCCCTTGGCACCACTGCTTATCTCCTTGTAACATACGTTTGATTCCCATGTCTATTTCTTCCATATGGGAAATTTCAGCTCCCTAAACATCACCAATACAACCTGTTGATAAGACAAAGTTAAATTTATTGCTTACTATGGTAAGAAAGACCACAGCCTGGACAAAGCTTTGGTAGTATTTCATAAGGAGAAAGGTGAGGTTGGATTTCATTGGGAGTATGAAGCTTGGTTTAAGATTGGTCTTTCACTGTGGGGGCACAATTAGGATTGGGTAAGGATCATGGTATTACAACTTAGTTTGGTGGAAACAGCACAGTGAAGATTTCTAGCCAAGAGGCTCAGAGACTATTAAGGTGTGAACTCTATTGATGTTTTTTGTTGAAGAGTTGATGGGAGTTTGGGGAAGTTACTTTAGTGAACAGTCAAATTATTTGCCTGGCCAAGAGTTATCTGTAATAGGAAAGTTATGCTAATGAAGACAATGGAAAGGTAAACCATGTTAATGTCGACAGCCAGCTATGTGAGCATAAGGGGTAGGTAGCTTTGGTCCTCCATGTCCAAACTGTTTGTAGTGGTAAGTGATCTTCATTCTCACATAGATTGAAAGCTTCCTGAGGACAGGGCAATGTCTTTGTAAACTTTAAAATATCTATGTCCTGCACATCACCTGCCGTAGACAAGCATCTAGTAATTGACGGTTGGGTAGATACTGAGGGAAAACATGCACCAAATAAAAATGGCAATAGGACACAAATTCACTATCATTTGGAAGAATAACAGTGTTTTCCACTGATATTTGCTACACACAGTGGGGTCCACAGAGCAGCAGTACCACTTGGGAGCTTATTGGAAATGGAGACTCTCAGGCACCACCGCAGGTCCAATGAATTAAACTCTGCTTTTTTTAAGGTCATTTGTATTCAATTATTATTTTTTTCTTTTTTCTTTACTTTCGATGCATTTTTCTTTATTTGTTTTTGAGATGGGGTCTTGCTATTTTGCCGAGTCTGGTCACAAACTCCTGAGCTCAAATGATCCTCCCACCTCAGCCTCCTAAGTAGCTGGGATCACAGATGTGAGCCACCACACCTGGCTTGTATCACATTAAATTTTGAGGAGCAGTGCTTTAATATCTATTCCATTCTCATCACTTGATGAGGTATTATTAATTCCACTTATGGATGTGGAAGTTGAAGCCAGAAAGTTTAAATGACTTGTACAAGGTCAAACAGCTTACAGGTAGTTGAGCCAAGAGGCTCTCAAGTCTTCTGCCTCCACAAACCCCTGTTCAGCTGCTGCCCTACAATGGAATAAAATATACTAATCCCAGAGGGACAAATATGCTAAAAATCTCAATATTATACACTTTGGAAGGTGCAGGTGCATTATCTTTCAATTCTAATTTCTCTTTCAAGTTTTCTGATGCATAAAAATATGAACAGCAGGTCTGAGCAATGTTTAGATGCCGTGCTTTGATCCTTTTGCCATTCAAGATGTTTGATTTGCATTCTGCCAAGGAATGTCTGGTAACCTCCATGATGCAGACCACACCATTAGTCAAGAGAGAGCTGACGTACCTTCATCTGAGAGCTGGCTGGCTGTGAGCTGCTCAGAGGGAAAGGATTTCTATTTACAAATTGTATCGATTATTTATAAATAAAAGTTCCCCTTGCTTTCTTCAGTTGTAAAATCTGCAGTTAGAGAGTCGGGAAGAAGATCAAAACTGCATACATTTGCATCTGCCAAGCCTGATAACTAGTTCCAGAATTACAGAAATGGTGCTGAAATAGCACCTCAAGTACCAGGCTCTATCAAATTTAATCTATCCATAAGGCAACTGCCAATTATATTTTAGAGAAAAAATGTAGACTGAAAAGATAGACAATCCAAGTAGCAACTCCTGTAAAATTATATGCCCATAGGAGCAATCTTGAAGATATAAATATTGGTATGTTTCTCCTTCATTTATCATTTATCTGATCATTTGACAAGTATTTATTGAATGCCTGTTAAGGGTGTAGATATATGTGGTGAGGCTGCAGGTGTAAGTAGGTCTTTCTGAGGATATGCATGAAGTTGATGTTCATAACTTGGAGATGTGTGTATACAGACTGAGGATTCCTTCAGTGGATATTAAGAAGTGGAGTAATAGGCAGTAAAGAATACACTAGTCAGTTGTGGTACATAAACACGTCAGCACCACTTAGGTATTAACTTCCTGTTTTGTTTTGTGTGTGCTTAATTACGCTGTTTATTAAACAAGCACATCATAATCTGCAGATATTGTCATAAACAGCACAATAAAGCCTGCCACATCAGAATGTCATCTATCAAATTAGGTGTGTTCCTCAGCTGTCCCGATAGGCACACACCTGTGCCTGTAAATAGGCGCTTGGCGGAGATTGCTTCCAGGTGTGGATCTGTTGGGCGACCTTGGGATGTAGGGCACTTTGGAACCTTTTCCTCTAGCTTCAGGAATTAACCTCTGGGCTTGGTTCCATGCCAGCTTGCATTTTGCTTTGGGACAGTAACATGTAAAGAATATGCCTGTGAATTTAGGGTTACTGAGAAGTCCTCATAGAAGAAGTAAAATTTCCTTGAGGAATGGGAGTCTTTTATTCAATCCAGGTTTAATGCAAGGCTTGGTGAACAGCTCCAGAAGGTTAATAATTGCGTGCGTGTGTGTGTGTGTGTGTGTGTGTGTGTGTGTGTGTATCCTTTTGTCATTCAAAAGTATACGTATACACACACACCTGTACAGCTGATGATAAATATACATTGTATCAATGAGTTCAAATGAAGTGTGCTATTCATTCACTGAGGAATGGGCTATTATAATGAACTATTATGATATTAGAAATTGTCAGGGCAATAAGCAAATAATACATACGGTTTTCAACAAACTTTCTAAGTATTGTTATCAGTGGGTTTGCTTAAATCTTTTTTTACAAATTTATTTATTTTTTTGAGACGAAGTCTCGCTCTGTCGCCAGGCTGGAGTGCAGTGGTGCAATCTCGGCTCACTGCAACCACTGCCTCCCGGGTTCAAAAGATTCTCCTACCTCAGCCTCCCGAGTAGCTGAGATTACAGGTGTGCGTCACCATGCCCATCTAATTTTTGTATTTTTAGTAGAGACGGGTTTTCACCATGTTGGCCAGGACAGTCTCGATCTCTTGACCTTGTGATCCATCTGCCTCAGCCTCCCAAAGTGCTGGGTTTACAGGCGTGAGCCACCGTGCCCAGGCAATAGCCCCATTGCTCAGTGAATGAATAGCACACTTTATTTTAACTCATTGATATAATGTATATTTATCATCAGCTATACAGGTGTGTGTGTGTGTGTGTGTGTGTGTGTGTGTGTGTGTGTGTGTTGAATGACAAAAGGATACACACACACACTCTTATTAACCCTCTGGAGCTGTTCAGCAAACCTTGCATTTTTTACTTTCATTACAGTGTGTAAATAATTTAGCAAATTCTAATTTGAACCTGATATCAATTGAGCATTTAATATTTAGCCAAATATTTATCAAGTGCTGACTGTGTTCTAGATGCTGGGGCTGCAATTTCGAAACAGACCATTGAGGCCCTCATGGAGCTCACAATAAATGATCTTCCTTAAAGTATCAGGTCTCTGGTTTGTTACCGTATTTTTTAAATTGTTAAGGAAAGAAAAAGGCCCTATCTTTTTGTAGACAAACATGCCCTAAGTGCTTCCAGAAATAATCTCCATCAGGTAATGCAGACTGTGTGTGGAGTGAAATTGAGTCCAATCCATGATCCAGCAGAGTTTCAGCCCAGGATTTCTTTAGAGCCTTTGCTACACACAAAGTTGGCTGATGTGCCATTCAGCATCCCAGCAGCTCTTTCTCTTCACACTAGCAATGGCAAAGCTTTGTGCGGAGGCATTGCTGGCTGCTCTGAACTAAAAGCATCCGTGGGGACCGAAAGAGGTTTTTGCACACCTTATTAAGGTAGGCAAGTGTGTCTGAGTGTGTGTGTGCCTAAAAGCTGGAAGACATCTGTTGAGAGGAAAGTGCTCTTCTGTGGGTCTGGCAGCTTTTCTGTAAGTCTTCTATTCTGATGCAGGAGCGTGTGAGCAGTGGGTGGGAGGAGATGCTTTGGTACTTGGAATGCTGAGGTCCGGATTAAGTGGTATTGTAATAGCTAGTTAGAGGCAGAATAAAAAGCTGGGAATCAAAGCATTTAAAAATGCATCCTTCCATTATTTGCTCTCAAGTTAAACCATATTCATTCTAGGGGAAATTAAAAAAAAAAAAAAAACACAGCAAGGGCAAGTAGCCCAAATCTGTAAGGTCTTTGAGCTTCTCTGTTCGTCCAGCTTTTGAAGTCTTCCTACAGCCAATTTGTTTGGCTCCTCTGGAGGGGGCAATTCATATCCACTTCCCTCTCCTGGAGCATTTCTTTCTTCTATACTCCATCAGGGAACAATAGAGTTTAACAGTAACAGGCAATTTTTTTTTTTTTTCAAAGCTTGTGCCCTCTTCTGCGTTTAAAGGTGTTTTTTAAGAGACTCCTGCTAGGGGAATCTTGGCGCCTGTGTGTTAAGACGGCAATTAACTTTTAGTATCAGTGCTTACATTAAATTTTCTCTCTTTCTGCTTTACTAAAGCAGTCATTAAAATTCAGTGTGAGTACCATGAAACTTTATCATAAAACCCTGCTTTGCTTAGAGAACCTTGATTGTTTTCTGAAAGCAGCCTTCTCAGTTTATATATACATAGCTGCCTTCCTTGGAATATCAAATTGCTTTGTGTCACATTAAGAAACACTAGGTTGAACCTCTATACTGTGTTTTATCTGAGAAAAATACTACTGCAAAAAGTTTGATTTGTTCAAGTTTTAGGATGAAAATTTCTTTGTAACAAGTTATTTGAGTTGCATACTATGTCATCGTATATCTCTTTAGTTCAAGTAATTTTGCAATTAACATACGGTTATGTAAAGAAGATAATGATTTATTTTTTATTTATATTTTTAAAAGTTATTAAGTGAGGTTTTCCTTTCAGTAAGAGTTTAGAAAAAATAGCCAGAACAAGTAACTGGACTTGGAAGATAAAGATACCTTTGCACTTCTAAATTTTACCTTTGTACACTTCGGTTGTGATTTAATCATTGAAATGCCTCTGCTTTGAAGTAAATGCATCACTTATGGTGTATGCTGTGTTTTAATAAAGGGAAAACAGTTATGGGTTCTCTGTTGCACATTTGAATGTTGTTATTTTTTGCTGTATTTAATAACCTCTTTTTTCTCTTGTGAGGTTTACTTTGGAAATGAGGCATGTTCAAAAATAGGCTGACATTCAGCTTCTATGTTTTAAATTTAAATGCTGTCTGTGTTTTATCACATCTGGAATGTGTGGGGAGAAAAGATACCAAGTTTTATTATTTAGATTTAATTGTAGAATTGCAGATTGATATTTTTCAATGCATTTTCATTATAGTTTCTGCCATGGAGGCAGCGTGAGGGCTTTCAGGAAGATGGAGTGGTGTAATTACCAGGTGCGCACGTTCATTAATCCTTCCTGGCTAGAGAAAGCTTCAAGTTCTTCTCCAGTGGCCCATTCGTAAAGCTATAAATATCTAAATTGTGTCAGCCAAGAAGTCACACAGAATGGTGGCTCTTTTTGAGTTCAATTTCATGCACTGTTGCTTTGGTCTTGTGAGGAAAGCTCTGAATTCCTTAGGATAGTCTTGGTTGTGAAGTTCCAAAAACAAAATATCAAATCATTAAGGATTTAATTTAAAATACATACTCTTCTTTCACAAACTAGATGATTGCAGTAATGTGGATTATAAATTTTTTTTTTTGCTTTATTTCTTTAGAGCTCCTCTTTTTATTTTGTATGATCAAGATTATAGCTGAGATTTTGGTGATTTTTTTAAAAAGATTTATGGCTTATGGTCCATCAGTCTCTCCACTACTTCAAACCTGTGTACCCCTGTATATTATCTGCAGTACTGGAATGTTTGCATTGTATGTGGAAGCTATATACGATTTGGTAAAAAATAACACTTAAAGGTCTTCGCTAAGAGTGCTTATTTAATCATTAAATATCCCTTAATAAAAATAATTCCAGAGATATTGTCTGTGTACAAACTTAAAAAAAGAGAAATATAAAATACTGTGATGTGAATAAAATGTATAGCAATACACTCCAATAATACCATTCTTATGTTTTCCCTTGTTCTCAACTGAAATAACTAAGCTAATAGAGACGTCAGTAAGGAATGTGTTGTTTCTTCATAATACAACTACAAACTCATCTGATAAGAACAACCTGAGAGTGAACGTTAACTTTCCTCATTAGAAAGATTCAATTTAACACATATATACAAATACATTTTTAAGATAATGATATTTGCAGAGTTTTTGTATTCTATGGAGTAAAGGAGAATTATCACATATTCAAAGTAAAGGTATAAAATACATCTTAATGTTTTACTTAAATTTTAAAGGGTCCAAAATATACTAAAATTGTTTTTCTAATTCTTTCCTATGTTTAAACGTGCCAGAGTCATTGGAAATAGGACATTCTTTTTCTTAAGAAGATTTTGCCCAAAATATTTAAAACTATTTTCTTTTCCCTTGATTTTACAATTTCAATATTCATGGATTTTTCTACTTTAAAAATAACAGTAGTTTTTATGATCTTAAAACAAATGTTTAAGGGCACTTTCGCTCTCTGGAGACTATACCATCCACATATTTATTATCAGCAAAAGAAAGGGCAGGGCATACTTTTATTTGAAGTTGAGTATAAAAATGTGTCTGTGTGTGAGTGTTATTAAAAAGATAAGTGAAGAGACAAATATAGAATCCAGGAACATTTTCAGCCTGGCTTTTACTCTCTCTAAAAATCTAATGAAACCCTTGAGCATCTCTTATCTCAAGGTACATTAGGAACTGTCCAACACTATGATCCGATGGGAGATCAGTATATTCATATAAAGAAGAAAATTTGTTGTTAGTGAAAGTCAAGTCTTTTAAAAAAATAATAGTTACAGCATTTGCAATATACAAGCATAATAGATTTACTCAACGCCCACCCCCCATCTTTAAAAAATCAATTTCCGACAGTTGTCTACTTTAAAATTGAACATATTTGCTACCTGGAGGGAACATTGTAATGTAGCCCATATGTGGTATGCATCCTGAAGAAAACCTGAAATTATAGAGGAAGTTATCCTGCCTTCTTTCTTCTGTTGAATGAGTTAAAATATATTAACAATTTGCCTTTCACTTTGTATTTATCATTTTGTATCTTTGCATATTTACATATACATTCATGTGTACAAGGGCATATATACTCACAGGTCAGGGCTATTTAAACAGCTATTTATTTGAATATGCCAGGGAAAATCTCCAAGATATAAAGAAGCAGTTATTAGATACTATGTCAGTATAGAATTAACAGCCATCTTTTTTAAGATGGAAGAGAAAATTAATTAATTACATACAATTTCTAACCTCAAGACATTTTCTTTCTGGAGACAAGGAATACTGAGGTGCTCACGATAGTGAAGACTCAACAAGACCCTAATAAAATAGATGAGGATAAGTAAAACTACAATAGCCAATAAAAAACAAAAAACAATAAACCATGTTTCGCTGGCATGTTGGTGAGTATCTCTGTAATATCTGTCAATAAGGGTCTCTGTAGATTTGGAGTAATGTTCAGGAACTACCTGTACTAGAGAAGACAGTGGAGAGGACTCCAGTGGCTAAATTCTGCTGCCTTTGCTTCCAGAAATGTAAATAATAAGGAGGTATTGTGGCATTTCCTGGAAGCAGTAGTCTTGTTTCATGGTCTGACTGTATAAGAATGCCTAGAGAAACATAACCTCAGCTGACTAAACTCCCTTGATGATTGTCACTTTGTCACTGAACTCTGACCATACCTTTTGCCTCCAGAGGCAAAAGACGGGTGAGGAAGTGATCTCCTCATCTGGTTTTTAAACAAGTATATAACTAGAGAACTGGATTATCTCCTAAACCCACTCTTGTCCCTGGAAAAAGGGGAGTCATCCTATCCGTTTCTTAGCCAATTTATGTATACTCTTAGTTTGAGAGCATGAGAAGGAAAACTATTTTCTTTTCTTACCTTGGCTGGGTTTTTAAGAATTTATTTTTAGTTTAATCAAAATAATATTTTAAAAGGTAGTAAGCCTCTCATAAGCAGTTTGATCTGTTCTAAAATAACTTCAATTTTTCTTTTTTTAAACTTTCTTTTATCTTACACACAAAGTATAATAGTAATATGTACTCACTAGAACAAATGAAACAGGATGGAGTCACATAGAGAAATATATCATATTCTCCCTATCCCCTCCCTTAATATTAACATTTAGGTGTCATGTGCTTCTCCATTAATTTTCATTGCAAAGGCCTAAATTTTCTTCCAAGAGTGAGGAGTAGCAGCACGGTAGTTTGGACCTGATATAGCTCTCTTTCCCTAGCCTTTTGCTTAAGTGCTTTCCTAGGGGCTGACTTTACTTACCTAAAGATGTTTCAAGCAAGGGCTCACATTTTTGGTAGCAGAAGACACTTACTGATTGCTCTCACTAATAATTTTGAAAGGAATGTCAAAATCTGGGAGGATCATGAAAGAAATATCAGAAATTTCCTTTCAGCTGCCATTCTCCTTAATACTGTTATCAATAAATTCAGCATCTCATATGTGATAGCAAAAAAGGTGCTGCCTTTTGTTCTTGCATCCTGAGGTTCTTACCTAATACCATGGTAGCAATAAAGATGGTGAGAAAATTGCTTCTTCTATGGTGTTCAGGTCCTGAACGAGCACCCTCACCTCCACAGACGGTGGCAGGTATTCAAGCATTTTACAGACTTTGGAGTTAAATATAGCAGTGTTATTCTAATTTAGGTATGCCACCACCAGCGGCACCGGCAACTGCAATAGGAAAAATGATTGGCAATGCCAGCTATCTGATGTTTTCATGTGCCAGGTGCTGTCAGTTCTTCACAGTATTACATTCCATCCTCACAACAAGAGAGTGCCAGTGAGTGTTGCTGTGTGCCAGTGCCCAGGCTAAGGGCTTTGAACACATTACCCTGTTTTATCCTCATAACTTTCCACGTTATTTTTATTCCTGAATGAAGAAACAAGTTCTCTGTAGAGATGCTGTCATTGATCCACTCATATCCTTTCACATCCGTTTAACATTTTCCCTGCTGTGCTTTTACTCCCAACAACTAGCTCCCTAATCGCTCTGTTGGAGGGTGGCCTTGAGGCTGCCAGAGCCTATTTGGTCTGTGTAAAGAGAGAGATGGATCTATCCTGGAATTTATGTCCCTGTGTGTGGGAAGCCCTTAATCAATGACTGCTGGTTGCAGACACATAAATACGTGAGCTTTCTTGTTCCCAACTGAGAAATTCAGAAGTGTGAATGGCACTGCCACCCTGGGCTTTTATGCCATATATGTGTTTGGTCTGTTTCCCTTCCCAATCTCACTTCATTTTCCCTTACCAGTGTTTCTTGAAAACACATCCCATTAGATCATTTTTGCATGAAGCTTCATCTCAGAACCTCCATTTAGGGAACCCAAACTAAGATATTCTCTAAAATAGAAACTTTATTGATAAAGTTTCCAAACTGTCTTAGTAGATGGCCAATATAAGACCAAGCCAAATCTTTCTGGGTCCAAATTCCCTGTCTTTAATTAATAGACTCCATTACAACACATTCTTCAATCTTTAGTCAGCAAACACTTACCACGTGCCTATTTTATGGCATATTATATTTATACCATAGTTAGGATATTATGGTTCATGAATATTTTATATCTGTACACCTGAAATTCTATTGACCTCTCTGGGCCACAGTTTTGCATCTGTAAAATCAGCACAATAATGCTACTTATCTCATAGAGTAGACTTAAAAACGAATGAAATGATATATGCCAAGTGTTGAGAATCACAATTGGCAATTACTCATGCTCATTAAATATTAGCTGTTTTTATGAGTATTGTTTCATTTTCGGTGCATAATATCCTATGCAAAGAACAAAAGGTATTGGTATAGGCATTGAAACTTGAAGCATAGAAGAAAAAGTTAATTAACCGGTGCCCCACTAGATGCCTCTAACTGCTGGCTCCGTGTATCCCTTTAGCCTTGGCTCGTCACGAGAAAACCTTGGAGACATTTCTGCTGGACTCAGCAGATCAATTTAAGAAAGATGAATGACATTTTTCTTGAAATGTATTCAGTCATAGCTGCCTTTTTCTACTTTCATATTTTGGAGTTCTTAGAAAAAATTAAGGACTCCTTTTTTTAAAGAAAATGGTATAAAAGAAAATGCATATCACTTTGTCACTTTATTATTGTAACCTCATCAAAGTATTCAGTGTAAAGACAGTAGCCAAGTGAACTCTTCTTGTAATGCTCGGAAACCATTTTAGCAATGGTAAAATTGCTGCAATTTATATTCGTCAAATTGCATGATTTGACTTATTTTAGAAAAGTTATTAACTTCTGAAGAGAATGCTTCAGAAGCATTTAAATGAGTACAAGTTATCACCAGTGATATACATAAATTTCATTTCAAAATATACTTCTAGAAACTGTACTTAGTTAGCTATAGTATTTGTACAAGGATTAATTCCTATTTCATTTTGTAGGAATTTATTTATGAATGTCTATGGCCTGCCAGTGTAAAGCAGACTTAGAGCATCATCTTTTACAATAATCTTTTTTTTTTTAATCAAAGGGGAGATATTCTGGTAAAACAAAACAAAACAAAAACAATAGTTTATTCTGCATTTTTATTAAGTCCCTCTGTAAGTCATCCCTGAAATGGGATATGTAGAGTCTTATATTTATTTATTTCTCAGAAGCTTATTGGAGGTGATATGAAGGATTTTAAGACCCTACTAACTAACAAAACAACAATTTAAAATTAATTTTCAAAATACCTTAACAAATCTTATTCTCCTTATTTTCAAATTCTTTAACAATGTTTTTCTTATTACTAACATAATATCTTCTGATGTAGTCATAATAATATCTAAAATGACAGGTCTAAGTAACTTACATGGATTAATTGAGTCTTCTAAATAGTAAGGTAGATGGCACTATTACTTCTATATGAGAAATGAGGAAGTAGAGGTATAAATAAGAAATTTTTTGGCCGGGTGCGGTGGCTCACGCCTGTAATCCCAGCACTTTGGGAGGCCGAGGCGGGCTGATCACGAGGTCAGGAGATCGAGACCATCCTGGCGAACACGGTGAAACCCCGTCTCTACTAAAAATATAAAAAATTAGCCTGGCGTGGTAGTGGGTGCCTGTAGTCCCAGCTACTCGGGAGGCTGAGGCAGGAGAATGGCGTGAACCCGGGAGGTGGAGGTTGCAGTGAGCCGAGATCGCGCCACTGCACTCCAGCCTGGGTGACAGAGCGAGACTCCATCTCAAAAAAAAAAAAAAAAAAGAAGAAATTTTTTTGAGTGTATACAGTTAGAAAATGGCAAAATGGGAATTCAGACCCAAACAGTAAGACTCAAGGATACCTTTCTTATCAGTATGCTAATATGAAAACCTAAGCATACTAGAAAATCTAAGTGCCAGTTGGAAACCAGAATTAACATTTTGGTGTGTAACTTTCTGGCTGCTTTTTCTATGCTAACAAACATATATGACATACAAAAATACACACATACACAAATTCCTGTTCACTACTTCTTTTATGTTAACATCACAATGTACCGTACACAGCTGTATTATTTTATATTTGATTTCATATTTTTTCTAAAGTCAGTGTATTTGTCAAATATCAACTTATCTATTTAATAGGAATATGGGATGATCTTTGCTTATACATACATACATATGTATATAAAAACAAAATCAAGTATTTTAAGCGTTCACCAGAAGTCATATGTCAATCAGTAAAGTATATAATTTTTTGCTGCCAATGACATATATCATAAAAACGCTACCTATCATAGAATGAAAATGAAACACAGCAATATTGGGACACCTATTCTCAAGCAACAGCTTTGTGATTTATTAGCTATCTCACATGAAATAACTCATTAACTTGGTATTCCAAGCAGCAAAAGAAGGATCACTTAGGTCACTTGCAAAATAATACAAAGCTAGGTTTAGGGGTGGGTTGCGCTTGGTGGGATGTAGATGAAACCATATGGGCCCTTGAGTTTATAATTGCTGGGATCTGCATGGTGGGTATATGGATGTTTATTACAGTATGCTAGTGAGTTAAGAAAGAAGAGGAATTATTATTGACTTACATCATAGAGTTTATGCAAAAATTAAACGATAATTTATTTTTAAACTCTAGAGGTATAGGTACCATCATGAAGGGACCCACAGAACTGATGTAGCCAGTAATTATTGGAGCTGGAACAGATACTCTGCTGTCAGTTGTTCTGGTTTTGTGGTCATTGTTCTTGCCTTTGCAAGTTACCAACTCTAAGACCTTGGGCAATACTTTAAGTCTTGGTTGTCTCATCTGTAAAATGGGGAGAGCAGTAAGTGTCTTAAAGGTTTATTCTCATGTTATATGACTTACGGTATGTAAAACATCTGCGTTTAGACACATAGAGGGTGCTTAATGGATGATTGCTCTCATTATTAGGCTACATCTAATCTATGAATTTAAAAACTGTATAGAAATATGTGACAGATTCTTTAAGAGCCAAATACCAACTACAGTGAAAAATACTTAACACTTGCTGAGCTCTTAGTATGTGTCAGGCTTAACTACCTTAATGCTCATAGCAATCCTATAAGATAGGTACTCTTGTTATCCTATTTTATATCTTCTAAAATTGAAGCAAGGGAAGTTAAATAATAGGACAAAGATCATACGCTATCTATCCATATATACCCATCTGGCTGTCTACCTGTCTCCTTCCATCCATCCATCCACTTATTCATCTACCCATCCATCCACTCAGTTACTTCTCTCTCTCCCACCATCCCTTTCCCTTTCCCTCTCCCTCTCCCTGTCTCTGTCACTCTCCTTTACTTATCTATCTATCGATGGATCGGTTTATCTATCATCTATCTATCTCTATCATCTATGTATAGTTGTTAATAACACTAACATTTTATAAATTACAAGACTGAAAAATGTTTTCATTAACTTATGGTAACAAAAGACCACATTGTGAATAAAAAAAGCAGTAAACACAGGTCTCTGCACATATGAAAGAGATGTCCTAAACAGGAAGAGATGTCCTAAACAGTAGGGATACATAGTATCATACAATCAAAACATGGCAGCCCTATAAAACTTACAAAGCAATTTCATGTAAGTTATTTCATTTGACTCTTACCACAATCTATGAGGTTACTATTTTTATTTTTCTCATTTTACAGGTTAAATTTAATATGGCTTCCAATAAAAAATTAGTATGGTTAATAAATATCTTGACGTCTTGCTCCTATAATCCTACCGATAGTTTACAGTAATTAGTAAAATAAAATAATAGGAAAAATACCTTTGATACTAGTATTAAATTATAATCATATCATTAGGTAATTTCAATTTGTGATTTTCAAGAATCTGTAATATGGTAGCTTCTTCCTACTGACATGTTTGAATTCATTTTAAGGCTTATAATTCACAAGTAATCTATATATTATCTAAAATGTAAATGCACATTCACATGGAGATAATAAATTAGCGTGAAATGGCTGTATTTTGCTCTCTATAATTTTTAACATACAGGAAATCACTGTTGTCTCAAAAATCAAGGAAATATAGTATTTGAGGTGAACTTATTCTTTCTACTATTAACACATTTTAATATAGTTCTCTCACAGTGCAACAGAGCAAGAAGCTTTCAGACACATTTGCTGCTGCAAGGAGCATGCTGTGCTGAACTTAAAACACCTTCCCTTTCAAACTCCTTGGGACTGTTTTTTTCCAAGAGACTTCAAATGCACTAAATTTAGCATCCGTTGGAGGCACACCCAGGCATATTATAGTGAAAGCCCCAATAACTGAATGTGTTACCACTATTCACAATGTTTATGTGTGTATATGCCTTATCTATGATGTATTGCAAATTACAAAAATTGTGTTATTATTCACAGTAACAAAAACACTTCCAGCAAATTTCTAACAGTGATCTCTTTTGAAATAACTTACATACATGTGTCATGGGTCTTAAACTTTGTCACTTTTATGTTTCCATCATGTTGTTTTAGCCAGTGAGGGTTTTGTTTGGTTTTCATTTATGATTATATACTTTCAAAAAATAGATTTCAAAGTGTGAATTTGATTGATTGATTGACTGATTCATTGAGACGGTGTTTCACTCTTGTTGCCCAGGCTGGGGTGCAATGGTGCGATCTCGGCTCACCACAACCTCTACCACCCAGGTTCAAGCGATTCTCCTGCCTCAGCCTCCCTAGTAGCTGGGATTACAGATGTGCACCACCACGCCTGGCTAATTTTTTGTATTTTTAGTAGAGACAGGGGTTCACCATGTTGGCCAGGCTGGTCTCGAACTCCTGACCTCAGGTGATCCACCCTCCTCAGCTTCCCAAAGCACTGGAATTCCAGACGTGAGCCACCGCGCCCAGCCCGTGAATTTTATTTTTGAAAGACAAGAATGTCCTTGCCTAATTGCATAATAGTTTAACATCATGAAGACTAAATATGCTTTTTAGCCATGACAATTTTATTTATTATTGTTTTCATTTTTAATTTTCTCAAAGATCCTCATCAGTGTACTCTTTTTGGTCTTCCTTATAAGCGTATTTTAACAGGACATAATAATAAGATAAATCCCAACTTTTTAAAGTTGTATCCGTATGTATTACTTTAAAGTGCTATTAATATAAACGAATTAGAGGCAACTTTTATTCAATCAGATTTTAAGTAATTTTACCAAAAATATGGCCTTGATAATGTCTCTGTAACAGGTTCTCTGTAATATACATGCTGAGGATTGGTTTGTCTTTGCTTTTGATACTATTTTAATTAGAAAAGTAATGGGGAATCCAGACCCTTCTCATTTAATAATCCAGAGAAAAATCAGTCCATGTTCTAATAGTTTAAATTTTTCTACTAAAACCCATGTGAGAATCCATATGAGTGGAATGGAGAGGAGTTCAGCTTCAAAGTTGGCAGATTTGAGATGATTCTATGGCAACAGAAATGTGCTTGAGGGAAATCAGTTGCGGCATCTTCTATAATTGTGTCACCTAGATTTTGCCTTAGGAATTTCTAGATTTCCATAGAACATTGTGACCTCAAATGCTTTATCTTAATAAAGAAATAAAAGCAGATTAGAAGAATTATTTGCCTACAGTTTGTGGGAGATGGGCAAGTCTTAAGAGTTTATTAGGTACCCAGAACGAAACATATTTTCTTGGGCCTCATAATCACATTGAAATACAAGGATTTAGTTATACACAGTGACCAGTTAGTGAATGACAGTCTTCAGTATCTAGTAGACAGTAAACATATAAAGATGTATTTGTGGCCGGGCACGGTGGCTCACGCCTGTAATCCCAGCACTTTGGGAGGCCGAGGCGGGCGGATCACGAGGTCAGGAGACCGAGACCATCCTGGCTAACACGGTGAAACCTCGTCTCTACTAAAAAATACAAAAAAAAAAAAATTAGCCATGCGTGGTGGCGGGCGCCTGTGGTCCCAGCTACTCGGGAGGTTAAGGCAGGAGAATGGCGTGAACCCGGGAGGCGGAGCTTGCAGTGAGCAGAGGTCAGGCCACTGCACTCCAGCCTGGGCGACAGAGGGAGACTCCATCTCAAAAAGAAAAAAAAAAAAAATGTATTTTTACTTTTAACTACAGCGAGAGACCCTGGCAGCCTACAGCATACAATTAGTGTTCATTATTTAGATTGCATGGATTTAATGTGAGGGGTCAATTACTTGTCTAACCAGTGAGCCTAGCCTCTTGCTCAATACTGCCTGCTTCATGAGGGTGAACTGTGCTGGAGAAATATATTACAGGATTATCTGCAGATTTTTTTTAAATGAGTGGTTAAGTCAAAAGTTCTTGTGAAAATTCAGAGTAATAAATTATTATGAAGTTGTGTAACTAGGTAAAGGATAGTTTCTTTTACACGGGTAAAGATTAACATGAGGAGGAAAACTTTAGCAATGGCATTTAATTCCATTCAATATATTTATATTGAGCTCCTTTAAAAATACAGGGCCTTGTGGTGGGTGCTGAGGACAGAACAAAAACCAAGTAATACATGAACATAACCCTTGATTTCATGATCTAGTAGACCTATAAAAGTTGTCGATATCTGATGAAAAGAAAATGGTAAAGATATTCCAAACAGTGTATGCAAATCCAGAGATAGGATGGAGGGGCTCTACCTGAAGGATGATGATAAGAAAACCGTGTTGAGTGAAGGGTGATTTGTGGAATTCAGATAAAATATCAGTCTTGAATGCTGAGTGAATACTCAATGATTGACTAGATCCCATGGACAGTAATTTCTTCAATTATGACGATGCTAGTGTTTATGACTATAACTATCATTCTCCATGCCAGGCACTTTGCCATTTGGTAAATGTATAGTGTGCTATTCTAACAAGCATGCACAGAGCTTTTACTTTAATGTATCCATGAGTTTATTGGGGTTCAGAATTTAGGTAAGCTTTGCAAGGTCGTAGCATGGAGTAAAATATCTGAAATTCAGACCCATATCTAACTAAGTTCAAAGACTGTACAGATATTTCTCCTCCTTTGTGCAGAGAAGGATAGGAATGGTTCCATATTATCATGGACTTAGTCAGATGTTTTAAAATTATAATGTCCTGTGTTAATGAAGAAGGGATGATATTCAGTGCATATTCTTAACCGTTACTTTGCTTAATGCTCTCGACTTTTCTGTGAGATGGATAGTGTAGATAAAATCCCCAAGGGGACTCAGCAAGTGCAAGTAAAACAATGAAACTTTAAAGCCCTTTGTCAAAACCTCTCTTTTTCTCAGAGGATGGAAGGGCCGTAAAGGTTGGTGAGGAAGGATGGACCATTTCCTATGTAGTCTTCTGACAATATTCAAACAAAAGGAGAGTCAGCAAATCCCCCTTGATGTGGGAAGTTTTAATACAATTTGCAGAGTGTCTCTCTGGAGTAGACATCCTCCTCTGCAATCGTGTCTTCTATATAGCCTCAGGGCTTTGGGTAGGTAATCCTCTCCAAGGAGAGTCCTGGAGAGGGCTGTCTACCCCCCTTGCACCATCCTCTAACATTATTCTATAGCTCAGCTCCTTGTTTCTGTTTCCTGCCTTGTTTTTGTCTGAGTCTGCAATTATGATGTAAGCACCATGAAGGAAGGTATGTTGCCAGTGTTTGCATCAGCATATCCCCCGTGTGTAGCAGCGCAAGGGATATAGTGAGCCCTCAATGTCTATTTGTAGAAAAAAGAATGAACGTATCAACGAAATCTGATACATATTCATTGTGTCTGTTATCTCCATCTCTCTTGTCCTGCCTTGTTATCTTGCCATTTTCACAAAAGGCCCCAAGGCCCATCATTTCTTGTGTAACTTCCAGAGTGTTAATTTTTAAATTAAAATTAAGGCTTTCTACATGAGTGTCTATTATTTGAGAAACCATGCAAGATCGTGTGTGTGTGTGTGTGTGTGTGTGTGTGTGTGTGTGTGTGTGTGTTGCACTCTATATTATATTGAATTCTGGATTTTTTCTTATAAATAAAATTTTAAAAATAGTTCTTTAAAAATAGGAATAAGATGTTTTAGGAGGCACAGAGAGCAAAGGAGAATAAAAATTGCAGGTTTGGGGTTGTGCATACTAATTGCCATTGAGTAAAGAGAGCACACTGAGGCCATTTAGAAGAGAATTAACGTGTTTTGTTTTTGTTTTTGTTTTTGTTTTTGTTTTTGTTTTTGTTTTGAGACGGAGTCTCGCTCTGTCACCCAGGCTGAAGTGCAGTGGTATGATCTCGGCTCACTGCAACCTCCACCTCCCGGGTTCAAGTGATTCTTGTGCCTCGGCCTCCCAAGCAGCTGGGATTAGAGGCGCCCACAACCACGCCAGGCTATTTGTTTTTTTTTTTTGTATTTTTAGTAGAGACGGGGTTTCACCATGTTGGCCAGGCTGGTCTCGAACTCCTAGCCTCAAGTCATCCACCCGACTCAGCCTCCCAAAGTGTTGGGATTATAGGTGTGATCCACTGCACCTGACCTTATTTTTATTCATTTAAAAATATTAAATGTTACTGCATAGGGAGTAATGGGCTTAACAATGAGGTGACCAAAACTCCTATGTACCATGCAGAGCAATGTATCAAATGTTTTTAACTATAAACTTCTCAAAAACATAAACCTAATTGTTCTGCAGCTGCAGGTTATATCTGCCTTGTTTGAGCAAAATTTGGTGGTGAAAATGCCTTGCTTCCATTTTTCCTTCAATAACTGATATGGTTTGGCTGTGTCCCCACCCAAATCTCATCTTGAATTCTACTCCCATAATTCCTACTTGTTGTGGGAGGGATCCAGTGGGAGGTCATTTGAATCATGGGGGCGGTTTCCCCCATACTGTTCTCATGGTACTGAATAAGTCTCACGAGATCTGTTGGTTTTATCAGGGGTTTCTGCTCTTGCGTCTCCACATTTTCTCTTCTGCTTCCATGTAAGAAGTGCCTTTCACCTCCCACCATGATTCTGAGGCCTCCCCAGTCATGTGGAACTATAAGTTCAATTAAACTACTTTTTCTTCCCAGTCTCAAGTATGTCTTTATCACAGCATGAAAACGGACTAATACAATAACCTATATAATTTTGAAAAGTACTTGTCTAATAGACTTTCACAATAGAAACTATATCCTTATCAACTTTGAAAAGTCATTGCTTAATGCCTTTGGATAACTGAATTTTCTAAGATTATTTTAATTTTGAAAGTTAAATTTTATCCCAGTGTTGACGATTTTTGTATGCTACTTTTAAAATATTTTGTCAGTGATTTATATCTATGGTGCAATCTTGTAAAAAATTAACAATGCAAATGTGGCTAGACCATTTAAAAATCAATATGTTATAATTCAGCCCATTTAATCACTTTAGTTAAACATCTTAGGAACAACTCAGTTCCATTTGAGAGAAGACACAGTTTTCTAGATGTGTGTTGTGGCATCATATTGCTTTACAATATCTTACATAAGGTGAATTCAAATCATATCATTGAATCTGTTTTAAATTCTGTCATAGCTTAAGATTAGTGACTAAATATTGGCAGGTTTATGGAAGTAGGATGTAAACAAGACAAAAACAAGGGTGGAACAAGTAATTTTAGTATATTATTCACTTGCACAGAGAAAAGTCATTCACACCTTCTTCAGCTTTGTGAAGAAAATAGACTAAAATCCTGTTGATATAGCAACTATGTTTTCCGTTTCTTGTATAAAAATAAAGAAAACTTCCTATTAGGAATTAGCCAGACATTTTAATTTTCTCTCTTCTTTCTCTATTTTCCCTTACAGTCTCTTTGAAGGCAGGCAAAATTTCTATAAAGTTTTAAGAATGTTTTAAGATTTTTTTATTGTGAAATATTCATAGACTCACAAGGAGTTGCAAAAACAGTACAGAGATTTCCTGTGTATACATAACCCAACTTTCCCCAGTTACATATTAACCAAATACAGTATATTACCAAACCCAATAAACTGACATTGGCACAGTGCAATCAACTAGACTGTAGACCTTACTTGGATTTCACCTGTTTTTGCACATGCTCTTTTACTGTGAGTCATTATCTGTTATTCTATGACATTAACCATGTCTATAGATTTATATAGTTACTACCACTATCAAGATAAAGAAGTGTTTCATCACCACAAAGTAACTTAAAGGATTATTTTTATAAAGTAATGACAAATGTGTCAAAAGCCATTCCTGTGTTATATAGCAAGTATGTTTTGAGTTATTAAAACTCACTGATCATGTCTTTCAGTGTCATAACTTTGGGTTTCCCTCCCTAACTATAATAATCCTGATGAATTACAGTTGATGAATATGAGAATATCCAACTCTTCCTGACTCTATAAATATATTGACTGAGATTGTAATATTTATGGTGTCTTAAGGGGCGCTTGTTTTATTATGATGATGTGAACATGTTGAGAATAGTAAGAACAGCCCAGTTTAGCAAACAGGATATGAGTCTTCTATATCCAGCTCAATCGTTGCCCCAACAGGGGACATCTGCCTTTGCTACTTAATTTTCCATTCTGGAAAATGTGAAGTGTATGAGAATGAATAATCGTCTCCGATTTTCCAGCACATAATAATCTGAGGAGAGCAGGTACAGCAATTTAGGAGCTGTTTTCTTTTGGTTTCCAAAAAAAGTTCCGTCCAGTGGTCTAAGTTAGTCGTTTACTAAGTGATAGAGCAATTGGCTATGCTTTTTGAACGGACTGATAATTATGTGGATGCAGCAAATAGGATATAGACAATGCATCTACTCCATTACAGTAAAAAAGACTCTGATAGCAGTTAATCCACATACCAGGCACTTAGCTTAGGCACAGTTGGAGGAAATGGAATGGTAATAGACTGTAGTATGGCATGACAGGAGCTGTAGCTTGAGATTCAGAATTCCAACTCTGCCTCTCAATATTTGAGTCCTCATGGCCAAGATATGTAAAGTGCTCTGTGCAGGTCTTGGCAACCATCCACCACACACTTAGTATGCAATATCTATCTTTATTAGTCAAGGATCTGGAAAGCTAGTTGATGAGACAAATGATAGAAACAAGAGTTCATTAGATGAAATAAAGTAATAAATGATGCAAGAATTTAAAAAAGATTTAGAGAAGGAAAGGGAACAGAACTCACATGCAAGTAGAGCAACTGTGTATCAGATAATGTGCTAGCTGAGTTAGAAACCATGTCTCATATTACCCTGAAAATAATTCTGCAAAGCTGTAGGTGTTATTTTTTTCATTTGACAGGTGAATTCATGAAGGCTTGAATATAGGGTTAAGTGAGTTGTTTCAATGTAGTTATTGATTCAAATCAAGATCTGAATGACTCTAAATATGGTGCTATAGAGATTTGAAGTAGGATAAATAGGATTTGAAAAAAAGAAAAAATATATAGGGAAAGGAATTGGTACACTGTAGCAGTGTCATAAATGAAGCTTCAGTTGTGTGATTCCAGATGATGTATGTGAGGCCTAATCAAACAGCTTTGTGGAATCAAAATTTCTGCTCTTGTCTCCAACTGGGGACGAGTTGGCTCGGGATTAAGGTGGGCGACCTTGGGAAGACTAGAGTCTAAGCAGGACTTTAGTCCCTCATAAGAATTATATGAGGATGTATATTTGCATACAAATTCCTGGGCCCACCGAGATCTGCCAAATTGGAATGTGTGGTGATATCACCCAGGGAAACATAGAGAGCTGTTATAATTAGTCATGAAATATTTAGTACTGAAATTATAGATTATGTTAAATAATCACTTATAGGGGACATAGCAGGGTTGGCAGGTTAACCATACAGCAAACAGGGTTGTAAGTCAGGGCCTAGAGAATTTTCAAGAGGCAGGAATTCTGCAGAATGAAGGCCTGGTCTCATGCAGCACCATGGACAGCTCCGAGGCACTCTTGTTTCTCCAAAAACCTGAAATCAAAAACTTTGCTTTTCATCATGCAACATACCCATGTAACAATCCTGCATAGGTACTCCCTAGTCCAAAATTAAAGTTGAAAAAAAAAACTATACTTTCATTTGAATACAGTTCTCTTCGGCTTTACCAGCTCTACTCTGGAAGGAATATCTTTTACTCAATGAAAGGCCATCCCCTGTTAATGCCTGGCCAGGTTCTCCTTATCAGTCATTCACT